>NC_000006.12:8544848-8696363 GCF_000001405.40 Homo sapiens
AAAAACTCTATAAAGAGTAGCCTTTGCTTCAAGATTGGTGTCTTTTATTAGGATGAATGTTTAATTATGAGCTTCCTTTAATTTCAAAAATGCAATATCTTTATCTGTTAAACCCATGAGAGGTAAATAGATAACTAATTTTCTAATATCCTTTTATAGAAAAAAATTAAAACCACAGACTAGATTAGAAACTGGGATATAATTTCCCAGACTTTCATACGCAAAGCTTTATAAAGCTTGCCTAAATCTTGAAGACATAAGTGGTTTGAGAATCATATCTCTATCCATATTTCATAAGAAAGGGGAAAAAAGGTATTTAGTTCTTTGGAAGGTAATGAGAGTCTATCATTTAGTTGAGCAAAACAGCTTTCATTCTCCCCCTTACTCTTAATAACATACCTTGGTATTTAATTAATTAAATATCTTGAAGTAGCAGAGTCCAAAGGCTCACCTGTCTTCATTGTGTGAGGATGGAAATAGTGAATGAGTTAAACATCCATTGGACAAGTGAAGATTTAAGCATTGTGCATTTCCACCCTCTGTAGTATATTACATGGACAGAGCTAGGTGGTGTGTGTTCCTGTAGACTTGGTTGGTTAACCTCCAGAAGTAGGCAGGAAGCACCCACAGAATGATGAGACAGGAATATATAATTTCAGGCTACAAAGACAAGAAGTCAAAGACAGCCTGAGGCGAGACTCTTGGCAAGCCAAAAGAAAACATGATTTTCCTGAAAGGCTGTAGGCAGCTCCCTCCCCTCCTCATCACTCTCACTTCTGCACCCTCCAATCTCAGTTCTGTCTGCATATCCTACAAGCTCATTTAGTTGGCTTTTTGCTCACATGTAATTCATTTTCAGGGCTGTAATCTTGAAATCTACCCTTTTAGTCTGGTCCTTCATGACCAGGCTGCTGCCTACTCTACCAGTCTATTTGGAGCAAAACTTCCTAGCTCTCTACTCTCTAGTCAGCTTTCCTGTAAAGAGCCCAACAGTTCTGCCTTGAATGCTCTTTCTTTCCCTTTTCTGCTGAATTCCTGTCAACTTTTGGACCCATCTCAAATGGAACCTCTCCAAGGAGACTTCCTTGATGTCCTGGACTAGGTCTCATCTCAAAGTGAAGTCCATTCTTTACTCTCCATCCCAAACCCACCCTACACCACTTTGTAGCACATACAATTTTAACAAATAATTGGCTGTGCAAGTATTTACTGCCTGTAATCACAGCACTTTGGGAGGCCGAGGCAGGCAGATCACAAGGTCAGGAGATTGAGACCATCCTGGCTAACGTGGTGAAACCCAGTCTCTACTAAAAATACAAAAATTAGCCAGGCGTTGTGGCACATGCCTGTAAGCCCAGCTACTCAGGAGGCTGAGGCAGGAGAATCACTTGAGCCTAGGAGGTGGAGGTTGCAGTGAGCCGAGATCGCCCTACTGCACTCCAGCCTGGGTGACAGAATAAGACTACATCTCAAAAAAAAAAAACAAAAACAAAAAAAACAAACAAAAAAAACCAATTATACCATTTTAAATAAGATATGCTATTGAGAATTCACTGATAAATTCATATTTGCCTATGTAATATTACATTTATAATTATAATATATATTATTGTAATATTTTTAATATGAAGTATGTCCAAAAAGCCTTTTTAAAACCCATTTGTTGCTCAATGTGATGGTTCAAAGGCCTTTGCAATCCTTACTTTTCAATGTGGAATGAGAGTATATAATTGGAATTTAGAGATAGCTCAGAGAGATACATCCTTGTACTTTCTGATAAACCAGGATGAATAATTTAGGTCCTTGTTGTGGAGAACTATTTCGTGAATGTTGATTTTGCCATTATCAGCTTTGTCAGCTACAAGAATCTCGCCACACACTGGGGTGTCCTCAATCTTGGCCGCTGTTTATCAGTGGTGTGGTGATGCATAGGAGAACTAAACTGAATGTTTAGGGCAGAGACAGAACTGACTGGGATGGGACACCGGACACGTCTACTGCAGAAGGCGAACGATGGGCATGAAACAGGTCACTAAAGTAAACACACACAATTACAACTGCATTTTGTTTGGAAATTTTCATGTAGACTTTTCTGTCATTTTCCTCCAGATATAACTTGGCTTACCTTTGTACTCCTAAATGAGGTAATTAACACACGTGAATTCACATCCAAATGAAGCTTTCAGGATGATCTCCAACTTGGCTTTTATTTTTTTTTTTTTTGTTATTGTTGTTTTATTTGAGACAGGGTCTCAATCTGTCTTCCAGGCTGGAGTGCAGTGGTGCCATCTCGGCTCACTGCAGCCTCAACCTCCTGGGCTCAAGCGATCCTCCTGCCACACCCTCCTGAGTAGCTGGGATTACAGGTATGAGCCACCACGCCTAGTTAATTTTTGATTTTTTTTTTTTTTTTGTAAAGACGGGGTTTCACCATGTTGCCCGTGCTGGTCTCGAACTCCTGAGCCCAAGGATTCCCCCTGCCTTGGCCTCTCAAAGTACTGGGATTACAGGCGTGAGCCACCGTGCCTGGCTAGCTCTTAGTTTTTATAAACTGTGATTGGTTTCATAGGAGCTTAGGTCCTATGAAAATATTGTTATGCTTCATTAAAAAGTATGTATTTCATTTTTAGGATATAGAAGGGCAAAGTAGGTCTGAGGGCATACAGAGCTATCCTTAAGTTTAACACTGCCTTTTTGGATGTATCTCAGTATACAGCATTTAATTTCTAGGTGATTCCAGTATAATGAAGAGTTTACTTCTGGACAATTATTCAATTGTTTTTGATAAAACTTATTGATTCTCTAATCGATACTAACAGAAGTAATTTGCTCCAATGAGTTGCTTACTAAAATATAGGGAGTGGCTATACCGGATAAATGAAGGTCATCTTTAGCTATTTCTTAATAATAAAAAGAAAGATAAACAAAAATATGAAAGGCCAAGTACCAAGAATTCCCTTTGCCTGAAACATCTGAGTCACAATAATATATTTTGAGTATTTCTATTTAGGAGCAAGGCTACCTGAAATCTGACTAAAAGTCATGAGCTTCATTTCATAAATCACATATCAAAAGCTGCATGTACATCGCAGTAATCCTTTCATAAAATGACAGACAATGTAGCATGTTCCTTTGAACCTTTTCACCTTATTTTTTTTTGGATAACACAAATGAAAAACTAATGATATTGCCTTGATGAAGACACTGCTTGACAAACGCACAGTGCTCCAAACACATTTGAATTCTTTTTTCTTTAATTATGGCAACATTCCTTACCCAGCTCGTTTAATCTGTAGTGCAAATCTTGTTTTTGTTAACACTCAACTAGGCAATTATTAAACTTTTCATTCCATGGTTTATAACTACTTTACAGAGTCACTAACCAGATTATCATTTAGTAGGATGAGAAAGTCGGTTCTGCATATTTCAGATTACATTATCTTTAAAATAAATTATTCAGATGATCACTGATTGTTTAATTATGCAGACTTGGCCAAAATGTTACCCCTTTAAATGAAAATGCAACCAACACAGGAAAGTAAAGTTAATTGCACATAGGAAGTTTCTTTTTGTTTATTTCTGCTGAAAAATAACCTTGGTGGATTCTGTTACTTGAGATTCAGTTAAACTTTCAAATCAAACTTAGGTTTGTATCAGCAAAACATCTCCCTATAGGCTAATTGCATATATTGTAAGGCGACTTGATCTTTTTTCATTCTTTAAATTACAACTCATTTATTTAAAGAAATACTTGTCAAAAGAAAGCTTTAAGTAGTGAGTTAAAAAAGCAGTGTTAAATAATTAAATTGACTGTGATAAAATTGCCTTAGTTTAAATAGACTAGTCTATTTAATGAATTGTGCTTTTATAGGGTGAGATAAATCTATGTGAACTCAAGTGGTTCCACCAGAAGCACTGAATTTGGACAGATTAGGAGAAAGTCAAGAAGAGGCATTTATAATAATGCAGTTATATTTTATTTTATTAAAATTACACCCAGTTATGAAACTGTTTTCTGCCAGGTTAATAATAAACTTAAAATATTATCAAGAACCTTACACATATTGAACAATTCAGATCCCCTGAAGAGGAAGTAACTATATTTGTTCTTTTTCTCAAGTAGAAATCATAACTTGAGGCTTAATTAGAAACACAGCATTTAATTTCCAATTTTTAGGAAAAGATTCAACTTACGAACCTTCAACATTGGATGAAATTATTTTGGCAGTGAGACTGCAGCAGGAAATTAATTTCATATTTTAAAGTAAATTTGGCAGGTTTACTTTCCTGTTTAGTGTTGAAAAGGGTTTTTATAACATACTATTAAGCTTCCATGGGGGTCCGCCTGTGTAGCAATACTTGGTTATCACTTCAAAAGGGAAACTTAGCTGGAACGTTTTTGTAGCTCTTGATTACACTTCTTGTGTTGTTAAGTGTTGAAATACATTTTATGTGCTTAAAAACAGAGAAGCAACTTGAGACAGAAAAAAAAAAAAACGAAGACAAGTACAAACACAAGGATCTGTTCTCATCAAAAAAGAATCACAGACTAAGACTGTGGATCATGTAGAAGGTTGGCAGTCATTTTCACATTGGTTGAATAGTGAAAACCAAATTCTTTGTTACATAGGTCAAGGCTGAAAGAAAGAAGTAGAAGATAATATCAGTTCGCACATACCAATGGACCATTCCACTGTTTAAGAGTTGTCTCTTCTTTTGATCTGACCCATGAAATTCCTATTTTAGTACTTACTATCTGAGAAGTAGCTTCTTAACTTAAGGCAAAATTCTTTTCAACACACACACACACACACACACACACACACGGAGACTTCCTGCTTGGTATTTTATGTTCTTACTTTGAGGAGCTTCTAATGGTTACAGCGAAAAAATAGGAAATCAAATTCAAGTTCAAAATATGTAACAGAGATATTTAAATCCTGATTTTAAAGTAATGATTAGTTTATCTTAGCAAGAAAATGGAATGTGGATATAAACTGAATAATTCCAGGACCTTCCTAATCCTGATGTTATTTAGTATTAGAATATTTCAATTAGACTTTTTTGGCAACTAAGCTTTTTCTTATTATAAAAGTTACACATGCTTGCTGTAGAAACTTAGAAGAGAAAAAAGTAAATAATACCCATAACTTCATTCATTCAGCAACAATTTATTGGATGCCTAATAGATGAAATACACATTTCATACCTTTATGGAGTTTTTGGTCTATTAGAGATAACAGATACTAAACAGATTGCCACAAAATGACTAAATGATTAAAATAGATTTAAACGCTGTGAAAACTGGGTCCAGAGTTCTTTGAGGATATCTAATAATGGACTTATTCTAAACTGGGGATTGGGTTGGGCTCCTGTGAGGATGTGTTTTAATGTGAGGTCTGAAGGAGAGTCAGGGAGAGGCGGTAGGGATGGTGAATGGAAGAATAACATTCTGGTTGGAAGGAACTGCAAATGGCCAGGCCCCAAGGCTGCAAGACCACTGGTACATTTCAGGAACAGAGCACAAATGAGTGGACAGTAGTGAGCAGAAAGGAAAGTGGCTAATAATAAGTTGGAATGAGAGGAACTAGATAGTCATATGGGATGTTTAATATAGGAAGGAGCTCATGCTGTATTCTAAGAACAAACAGAAATAAAGAATTCTAACATTTTCTATCAACTAGGTTCCTCTTGCTTGTTCTTTTTCAATGTTTTAAGAAGATCAGATGTTAAATGCTATGTGAGGATCAGACTATGTGAGAAGATGATTTTTTCATATACTTAGTAATGCATCATTCTATATTTATTAAATGTTTTTCCACAACATTTTTTTTTGTGGTTAATTTCATTACATAGATTTTTTATAGTTTACTTAGCCACACTCTTATTTTGTACCTTTGGATTTTTTAAAAAAGCTATAATTACCAATGATGTGATGGACATCTCCTTATAGACAAATATTTTCAACATCCATGATTGTTTCCTTAGGAAAAATTCACACAGCACAGACAGGATCTCTCTGATAGAGAGATAAGGTTATTTGCAAGCTTTTAGTATGCATAGCCAAATTGCCTTCCAGAAAGGCTGGTACAATTATTTCCATGGTAGTGTAGAAGACCATCTGTAATAAATCCAGTTTTTGAGCCTAAATTACAGAGATAATGGGGGGCGAGGGGAGAATTTCAGATTCTAAAATATGACCTTGAATAGTTATTGACAAAACTGAAATCTACTTAAAGATTCTTATTTGATGATGGAATTTGAGCCATGTGACTGGAAATCTATAAAATTTCTGTCTTCCTATTTGGTTTTAAATTAATAATGACATTGTTTCCCTATGATATCATTGTGCAATGATCATGAAAATGTATTGTCAGCTTCAAGGTTTATGGGTAATGTGTAGTTTTCAAAATTTGTATAGAGAGTTAAAAAAATGAATGTACATAGTAAAGAGACAATATAGTGACTCTAAAACTTAAAATTTGAATTTGGGGCAAATTATTGAAATTAACAATCATCTTTGAGACTGTGTCTAGACACACAAAAGATAGTAGAAATAAATGCAAAAACAAAAGGGTGTCAAGATAAATGAGAACAATGTCTTTAACTCAGTATGATTAAATCTAGTCTCAAATGTTCCAAAGCTATTTTTAAGCAATTGTTTTAAATTTGCAACACTAGGACTGATAGGCTATCACTGGATGTTTTTCTCACTAATCTCAGCTCTGACTCTTGGCAATGTACCCCAGCTTTGATATGCCGCTGGCTCTTTGGCTTCTAGTTCCAAATACTATTCTCTCTAGCTTTTACTCATTGCTTTCCTTAATGGATTTTGGCTTCTCTTGACTTTCTGGATTTTCTTACTTTGGATGACCTCTGATGGGCAGACCCCTCTTCCCCAAATGCTCCGTCTCACCCTGCTATGGCTCCTTGGAAGACATGGCCCTGGCAGTCATTGCTGGGACAGCCTTGGCTATACCATCCTTGAGTTGGGGCAGATATTTGGAAAATTAAAGTATATAGTTTCTTAAAGGGTTCACATAATTATTGAAATTTCCTAGTAAATCATCACATATTTATGGTAATTTTCTTCTGTGCAAATTGGGCAAAAAAATTAATAAAAGGCACCCTTCCTATCTCTCAAACATGTAAATCTATGGGTATAATGAGGTGCAACTTTGATCTAATGAATTCATGTTTTACTTGAATCACTAAATGGAGATGTAGTATTTTATAATGCAATTATCCTGAGAGTAGATATACACATTGCAATGATGCAACCATTCTTCCAACTGTATATAGAATTCCTCTTTTTGGAGAAACGGGAGTAGGCGTGGTAAACTTTGTGAAATGTGAGCTCTATTCCCTACTGTTGCCTCTTTCTCTTATAATTATGCTGACTTGTGTGCTGCTGCCATGCATAATTTAGTGCTAAATTAAGTGGCTAATTCAGCAAAGGCTCCAGGAGTTCAAGGAAGGAAGGGTGCTCAATGTGTGTTTGAGCAGTCAAGGAAATTTTCTTAGAGAAGATGGGCCTTGAAAAATAAATATTATTTAAGTAAGTGGAAAGAAGAAGTCAGGGTTCCGATGAAGAAAATCATTTCGGCAAAATGAAAGAAATGAGGTTTTTCAGAGTTGCTATATTTTGTGCTATGATGATTGACAAAGTGTACTTTTCTACATACATTAAATTAATACATGCAACTGACCCACCTTTGTTGAGCTATTTACTTTTTAACTGTATTTTTAAATAATGATAGTGCTTTTACTTTCTCAGCCTTTTTTATTCTAGGAACATGTGAGGCTCATATTGAAAAATTATTTTTTCTATGCTAAGCAAATTAAATGGAGCAAATAGTTATATAATTTTCCCATTTCTTCAACTTTTTGGTTTTCTTGTTTGCTTTCTCTTTCCTCTCCCTTGCATATTTACAATCAAATATTTATCAACTTTTGTTGAACTTTCTTCTTCTATTTTATTTCATGTTTTTCTTATTTAGGATCCAACGACTTCAAATATGGAATATGATAATCCTTTTTCAACTGATCTATCTGATACCATCTCACCTCCTTCCAGTTCATGCTAGGCATCACAGTAATTAACATATTTTTAAAATACTGCTTTTATTTTATGTCACCTCCCTGACCAAAATTCCTGTATTCGTTTTCTACGACCTGAAAGGTGGAGTAGCCCAAATGCATCTCCCACTAGTGCTCTCCAAGATTCTTCTGACCCAAATATTGTTCATCAAAAGCTCGCTGGTAAAATTACATTATTTTTGGCCCCATTCCCCAAGGTGAATTACTTCTACATCTCTCTTTTCAGTTCATCATGCCCAGTTCAAAATTTACCCCTTTCCTCAATAAACTAAGAGTGCTGTGTAGATCCTGCATCTTGGTTGACTCCTTTTGTGATTAATCTTTTTCACAGGACCCTCTTCCATTATTTTTAAAGTTGAATAAAAAACTCCTGTGGCACATACAATCTATCTTGTATTGTTACTTAAACTTCTTCATATATTTGGTTGTTTCAACTAAAAGATAACCTCTTTGAAGACAGAGACTCTAGTTCTAGTCAAGAATGGTGTTTTTCCACATTGTAGTACTTATTTATGACATTCATGACATCAGTGGTGATAAACATCTCTACATGACTACAGTCTTAAGAAAAATTAAACCATTGGTAAAGAAATTAGGAAGCCCTACTCTGTACTCTGTTTCTTAGGCACCCCTTAAAGGTCTTGTGCTTTAGGAAAAAAAAAGGAGGAGGGTGAGAAGGGGCATCTACTTTGTATACTCTAGATGGCTAAATTGTCAGCATTTCTTGGGGAAGTCCAAACTGTTTAACTGTTGTCATCCATCCTCATTTCTTCAGTGGCATTTCAGAAGTTAATAACAAAAACTACCACTAACACCCCATGGTCTCAATGTGCCAGGCTTTATACCTCGTGTTTTGCATGCATTATCTCATTTAGTATTCATGCTCTGCCTGTAAGACAGACATTATTGTCCTTTTGCTGAGGAGGAACTGGAAACTTTTAGACCGATATCACCCAGTAAGTCCACAGTAAGGCTAAGATTTTTAACTCAGTTTGGAGCTGGGTTAAACACTTTTATACCTTCCTCAGATTTCCTCAAATTTCTGTTATCAAGTGGATTCCTAAATAACCCAACGTAGAATCCAAGAATTTCTAAAAAGCTGTGTGAGGGAGTATAATGTGGATGATAAGCAGAAAGAGAAGGATGAAAGAATTGTTTTCCTTTTAAGAGGAAGCATCATTCCTTGATTACAGAAGGTGCTAGGAGGTAGATGAAAAAGCAAGGTAAGTATTTGTTCTGACCCAGTGAAAGATTGAAAGGTAACAGGGCTTTTATGGGTAGACATGACATTTGCTGGTTCTTGATCTCCTAGTTCCAAAAAGAAATAGTTATTAGTTTCCTGCTCCTAGCCACAAGATTATTGATTTCTATGAAAGATATGAGAAGACCCTGGGAATGGAATGCAGGAGATTAGAAATGGAACCATATGAAAGGATGAGCCATTTTGGAAAACTGATAAAACCAAAAGATTTTTATTATCCTGCTTCTTCTTATTCTGTTACTATGAACTTTTTTCCCCCCTGTAAAGGAATCTATCTTCCCAAGTGGGAAAAAATAATTTTTAAAAAGATAAGCCTGAAAAAATTAATTTAAACTTAGCCATGTTAGGGTAGCATTAAGGCACTCCCGGGTACATTTTATTGGTCCATTAATATAGGGCCCGAGTGGTTGAATACACCTAAGGCATGTACTGTATTAATGAACCAATAAAACATGCCCTGGAGTGTCTTAATGATATATTACAACCATTTCTATTACATACATAAATGCACTATTTGCTGGCTGTCTTGCATAGTTTTAAAGAAAATCTTCAATTAACCAAAAATATTGCATCAAGAACTCTTACCCACAATAAAAGAGAGCAACAAAGAATCCTGTAATTAACTTACTGGGCTAGTTACTCATGAGGTGATTCTGGATTGATTTAATCTTTGGTGCTTTTTCACTGTAAATACTTTGGAAGAACTGGTTATTTGGATTTAAAATTGGATACTTTCAGGAAAAGAAACAGATGAAAGCTGACAGAATTCATACTGATCTCCTTCCTTACTTACAATATCCAACTGTGGTTGGTGATTATAACATTAAATAGGTATTAATGACTGGATTCAAATAGTAACTCTCTATGCCTACATTAGAATGATATATTTTAGGCATGTGGGGACATTTTCTACAGTGGTAAGGAATGCCACACACTCATGTATGCAAGGGTTGAGACCAACACTTGGGATCTTGTAAAAATGTCTTCTCCTAACCAACATTGTGTTCCACTTTTATTAATAAACTCA
Organism: Homo sapiens; assembly: GCF_000001405.40. Classification (NCBI taxonomy): domain Eukaryota; kingdom Metazoa; phylum Chordata; class Mammalia; order Primates; family Hominidae; genus Homo; species Homo sapiens. The sequence continues at coordinate 8,555,237 of NC_000006.12, forward strand.
GGGTTGACCCTGCTGTCTTTTGACTGGAGTCATATAAATTGATGCATTGCTATGAGTAGGAGAAGCTGGAGGACCGCATGGAGAGAGGAGAGATAATGATGACAATAGATATCATTTATTGAATGATTATTATACATCATACAATGCTCTAATTATTTTTACATTTATTATCTCCTTTAATCTTTGCAACAACCCTATGAGGGAGATACTATTATACTTGTTTTGTAGATGAGGTATCCAAGGTAAAAGTAGAAACTTTTCCAAAGTGGTGGACTTTGGGATTGAATGCACTCTCTGAATCCAAAGCCTATACTCAAGTGGGTAAAGCTTGGGATGACCAGTATGAGAAAAGCAGAGAGAACCATTAGGTTTATCCTCTAAATAGGGAAGAAGTCCTTTCTAAACTCTATCTACCAACATATTGCATTGTATATTTTATTCTTCCCCTCCACCTCCTCCTTACAGAGGCACATAAATAGAGGAGAGACAGAGATAGTGGACATGAAGGGTCCTCATAGCAGAGTCTTAAAAGATGCAAAGTGACTTCCATGAAGCAATGATCTAAGACCCAATGAGAGTGGGCACATGGCGATATGGTTAGATACCAACGGCCAGAAACAGGAAAAATTTGAATGCCTTATCATCTGATCATGGGGAGAGAAGATGACATCCTCCCATTCTCACTGAGGATGGCACCTCAGTGGCACCACATAGACTCCTTGAAACTAAGGTGACAGCCCTTGGATAATGAGTGAGTAGAGAATATCGTCAAGCTAGTCACAGACTGAGGAAATACTGCACTGACTGATTAACCCTAAATTTGACTACTGAATAGAATGGAGGCTCAAGACAGAAATGAATTGTAAAAAAAGATAAAGTAAAAATTATTTGTACACACGTTTGAAACCTGAGATTTATGTCCTGAGTTGTTTTATTCATAAACTGTTTAATTGTTACAGATTTGCATCCTAAGAGAACCTGACCATGAAATGTTTACAAAGGCTATTGAAGTGACAGCAGTTATTGTTGGTTTTAGGGTCATAAGTTAGGTGTCAAATCATAAAAAACTGGCCTTTTTGAGGAATTGCATTTTATTTTGATTTTTTCTTCAAGATCTATAACATAGTAGGAAATTCATTATTTTGTAAACTTATTCTGTACCAATTTCTCCAGCTGAATTTTACAAGCCTAGAAAACAGTTGCTGAAAGGTCTTTGATGCCTCCACTTGATTTTTACTCATGTTTTATATTTGCCGTGCACATTTTGTAGTCAATGATACAATTCATTTTGGCTTTATTTACTGAAGGGCTTGGCCCTGATGTTGAAAGTCATACTGCAATATTGTTTACTCAACCTTTAGAAGGCAGGAAAGTTGTTAAACATAAGCCCTAGTGCATTTTTAAAATTCTGATAAAACACAATTTTACCACAATATCTTTAAAAATCTCACATACACTATTTACAAATAACTTTCCCTTCTTTATTTCAGTTATTTTTTAAGACCATTAGGTTGGTGTTGTTTATGGCAAAGTGGTAATTTAATACCAGATAGTAAATTCATTATGTGATTTCAGTGGGCAGACAATTACATCATGCAATTTCTCTGTGTCTCTTAAGTGACTCATCTGCTGGCTTATGTTCAATGTAGGAACCAGGTCATCAGCTCTTCTGTAAAGCTGACCAAGCAAGTCATCACAATGTGATGTAAATAAATATATATAAATAAACCAGCACCAACATGTGAGGGGTACTAGTGATGGCTGGACATTTGCAGTGAGTAATTTAGTGGACATATGATTCTACTGCTCTTAAAAAAAAATTAATGCTGCTTTTGCTGGTGAAGGCATCTTTGCTGACTATAATAACAGCAACCTAAATGTGTATAGTGCTTTAACAATTTTTGAAGCACTTTCGCAGGTGATATTATCATGTGGAATATTTCCCCACAATCTTGTGACACAATTGTGAATCATATTGTCCTCATTTTCAGATAAGGAATTGTTACCCAGAGAATTTAAGTGTTTCTCTTGAAGCAATTGCTAAATGGCACAGTGCATTAGAACCAGGTCTTCTTGGAATCATGTTCTTCTTCTTTTCCCCATAAGACTTGAACATCAACAGGTCAGGACACTAAAGCTAAACAAAACTGAATGTTATTAAACTGACAATATTCTACTCTTTCTAGCTGATTACAGTTTCATATGACTCGACCTAATAGTAAAATAGAGGCTTTGGGTATCCTTGGTCAGAAAATCTGAGAATTTAGTTGAAGTAAATGAAGGAAGACCAAACAGGCAGGGACTATGGCCATGGATCCAGAGTCCAAGCTGGATGTACATGGATACTGACAGGAAAACAGAGAAAGTGAGAGCTGTTTAAAATGTGAACCACATCTATGTTTTGGGAATAGATATTTGCTTTTAATTTTGCATAGCACCATGGGATAAGCTTGAAATGCTTCTGAGTGAATGACTTCTATAGATTAGAGATTTAACTGAATCTAAAAGCAAAATAGATCTATGATTTGGAGATCAGATGAGATTTTTAGCCTGATTTATTTAGAAAATTTTGTATGTTTGGGACTCTTATCTAGTAGATTTTGACTGTACCTTCATTAAATAAAATAGTGTAATATAGGTGTCGATTCACATCAACAAAAGTAGGAGGCTGTCATGAGACACAAGGAAAAACATGGTTGTCATGTCAAAAGGCTTCAGTTTAACACCAAATTCTCCTGCATGATTTGGACAAGTAATTGAACCCCATGCAGATTAATTTTCTTAATTAAAAAACAGTGATAACAATACCTACCTCATAGAGATGTTGTGAGGATTAACCTATGGATTACTGGAGTTAGTAACCCTGGATGGATTTTAGGACATCAATGAACCCTCCAACATTGCATGCATGAAATTCTGGTGAGAATGTTCATTATTGTCATCAGATCCTTAAAAGTCTCCACAAATTGCAAAAGGCTAAGAACTACCAACGTATATGAAAAGGATTTGAAATTGTGAAATGCTACACAAATGTTAGAAATCAAGGATAAAGAAGCACTATCCAGGAAAGGAAAACAAAACAGTAATTTTTAGGGAGATAGAATGTTTATCTGTCTCCAACAAACTTGGATTGGACTTCTAGGAGATAATTTGATAAGTCAAACGTACATAAAACATAAATTACCTCTAATGGCAAAATCACTTTTATTTGTAGTAATTTTAAATATAGGCTTGTTAAACTGTGCTTTTGAACATACTTCATAGATGATAATCTGTAATTTACTAGTTTCTCTCTCTTTTTCAAATTTTATTGTATGTATTTGAGATCCTTTTATGATTTTTTTTAAGGTGATGTCATTGAACTCTTAAGTGCAAGATGAAACAAGTCTTTCTGGGGTTCTAAGTAGGTAAGTGATCTGTCCATTTCTTAACTAGCTAAATGAATTGCTTTATTAAGATACTGAAGGTATGTCAGGCCTATCAAGATCCAGTATCTGGAATCACTAATCAACTCTCTATGAACATTATTTTTTTGAAGACTTTTCTTTCGGCACACTAAACAAAAATAAACTCAACCTGGGGGAAGATGCTTGGAGCTAATGTGAGGAGGAAGGAATGATATCAAAGACCTTGCTTTCTCAAAGTTCCCTAAGATGCGAAAGAATCAGTACTGCAGTTTTAAAATAGGCTGGGGTTGGACAGAGGAGCAACAAATTGTAATTTAGGAGTGCCATTGCTTTCTCAGACATAACGGCATTATTGTCTGGGGGAAAGAGTTCTATTGTATAAATACTGTTGAGAGGATAGTGGAATTTAGATCTCCAGCCTCTTCCTTGATTTTGGCAAGGTTGAATGTAGAGGAAACCACAGTCGTTCAGGAAGAACGTTATGTGAACAATGTCATGTTTTATTGGTGGAATGAGTAAACCAGGCAGTACAGGCTGTAAAAACGTATCAGTTGGTGTTATGGCAGGAAACAGATGGCTCATTCCAATAGAGTAATTCAAAGAATATCCAATAAAGGGGCTACTTACAAAGGTGTAGATGGGAAACAGGTGAGCCATGAGATAGAGTGTATCCAAGGCTAGTAACACAGGGTCTATTTCTAACCCTATGCTTGAAGGGGTGAATTACCGGGAAAGAGAGGCTCCTAAGGAGGGGCCACCTTGAGAAGAGCCACAGTCGTCGCGGAGGGAAATGGGAACTTGTGAGCTAAGGGAATATAAATACTCCTTCCTTATTCACCTCCTTCCCTCTGATATTCTGCCAGATCTCTCTAATAATATAATCCAATCTGGAGCCAGTGGGCAAGAAATCTAATGGACTGACTCTTTAGACTGGCCTCCTGCAGCTGACTAGGGTGAAAAGTGTGATCTGGAGGAACAAACAACTCCCCACATTAAGTGGTTTACAGTCCCAAAGGCCTACTTCTCACTCATGCTGAATTTCCGGCATGGATCAGTAGGGAGTGTTTCCATGTGTCCTCACTCTAGAACTTCAGAAATGGAGCAGACATTTCTTCAGAATATAACCAATTGTTTTGATAGAGGGAAATAGAATTTGGGATAGTCTCAAGCCAGCAATTATGTATTTTGGTCTTAAATAATTTATGTCATTTGTACTTACCCAGAACTAGTTCAGGGCCCTGTGCAAGCTTCAGGGAGCCAGAAAGTTGAACTCTACCAGGTGCCTGAACGAGAAGGGGATGTGATAAAACTGAGCAGTGTGAATAACCACCACGGGTAACTTTTCTGTTCAAAGCATGCTGGTCCCTAAATTAAATTGAAGCTGGGATATGGGTTGGCAGAATAATTCAGGCAGAATTTAGTTTACAGACAACTTCTGAACAACTTGCATGATATTCAACAGAGCCTATATGTAGATTATACAAAAACTTTTTTTCTTTTTTTTTTTTTTTTTTTGAGACAGAGTCTTACTCTGTCACTCAGGCTGGAGTGCAGTGGCATGATCTCAGCTCACTGCAATCTCTGCCTCCTGGGTTCAAGCAATTCTGGTGCCTCCCAAGTAGCTGGGATTACAGGTGCCTGCCACCATGCTGGCTAATTTTTGTATTTTTAGTAGAGACGGTTTTGCCATGTTGGCCAGGCTGGTCTTGAACTCCCGACATCAGGTGATCCATCCACCTTGGCCTCCCAAAGTGCTAGGATTACAGGTGTGAGCCACCGTGCCCGGCTTATATCAGAACTTTAAAAAAGCCAAATCCATACAGTTGACTGGAATGGAACCATACAATAATTTTTTGAACATTGTTAGGATCAAAATATTAATACTTACATTAAAAAAAAGCCTTTTTTTAAGTACATGGTATGGTACTAAGCCTTTAGTCAAGGAAATTTAAACAAAATTATCCCTGCCCTGTAGGAGTTTATAATCTAAAACAGACAGTATTGATGTAAATACATGCAATTGGTTCTCTGTTATTCGCAGGAACATTATCTGCTCTTAAATTGATCTATGGCAATTTTTAGAATGATTAAATTATATATTACTCAGTATACAACTTAACTATATTCTTCTTCCTCCAGTTGTATTACTATTTGTAAATGGACTATAAAGAAAATTAAGAATATCTAGCACCTTTGGAAATGCATGTAATTTATGCACAAGTGGGATAATGTCACATACTATAGGTGCAAATTTAGAACTGATTGCACTATAGGGAGATGACAGCCTCATCTATGCTTAGAAAAAAGTTGTTTTAAGTTGTTTTAGAAGCTGAATATTGGGTTTTATTCTGGATATAAAGCATGCCATTAGTTTGCTAATATCTTAATAGTGAGAAAACTTTCATCTAAATACTGAAAGGTAAAAAGTGTTGGGAATAAATCCTAAATATTAACTGATAATGTTTCCTGAATACCCTGAGGAATGCTGATGGGACAGAGTTTCAGATATTTTAAGCTCAGCAGCTTATACCTATGAGTGCTTTCTCTGACAAATTGCATGGTGGATAGAGCACATGCTGCCCACATCACGGGTGTCCTTACCATTTTCGTACAATCCGGTTTGACTTCCAATTGCTGATGACTGTGTCTCTGGCCAGTGGGGCCTGCAGCAGTCTGGGAGTACTGGAGGAAAGAGTGCCATCAAAGAGCAGCCCTCAATTACAGACCCAGAAGATTAGGTCTGTGGGTCTCAGTGGATGAACCAACACGGAGGAGCACCACGTTGAGCGTCCATCTTACAGTTTCCCAGGGCACAAAGTTATAGTCATCTGAGGGGCAACTTGCTTGACAAAGTAGCTTTTCCCGACTTCCTTCCCATCTTTACCTCACTCCCCGACTTTCTAACCAGTGTTTCTTGGGATCAATTTCCAAATACGTGCATTCAAATCTTTGTCTTTGGGTATGATGTTGAGGAAGTAAAACTAACACAGGGGGCTATTTCCCTAGCTACAGGCCTCCTTATTCTTGTACTATATTATGGGACCTGAAAAAATACATAATTCAGAGGTAGTGGCAGCACGAAGTTCCTTGCGTAAGTACTTTTTGTAGATAAAGATGAAATAGGTGTAGACAAGCAAGGTTGCCTAGAGCAGTTTAATGGAGACTTTGATTACAAAGTCTTATATTAAAATGACATGAAAATACTGTAGAATCTTGTCTCAGAAATTCCTGATATTAGACATAACTTAAAGCATTAAAAAGTCAAACTGTTGAGTGTCTGTTGGAAGTAAGCTAAAGAAAAAATATATTTAAGAGTTATCCATAATATTTGCATGTGTGTACATATGTGTGTGTATATATATATGTAATATTTTTGCAAAATATTTCACACTTTACTATAACCTGTTAATATGCAAGGTTACCAATTATTTATTAGATTACTAGATTAGTTGCAAATTTTCTGCCTCCTCTACTCCAGCCACATGGGTGGTGGCACCAGGACTGGATAACTGGAATAAATACCTTAGGCAGAAAACAGAAAATTGCAATGTATGCAGTAGTCACTGGTCCATGGTAATGATGAAATCCTGTGGACAGCTGTTATGTAGTCTTGTCAGTGAGAGAAGTGCCATGGTCAGAACTTGATTCTGTTCTCAGGGAGGAATTTTCCCGTCCATTGTTCTGTGGGGCCCCTGCTTCTGCCATCTGGGAAGCTTTGCTTGTCTATTATCTGCCGTGGCTGCAATGGCAGTTGAGGGCTCTAGAGGTTTTGCTGCCTGCCTCCTGCCTGTATGAGTTGGGTGGCCTAAGAGTTGCTTCAAGGCTCAGCCAAAAGCTTTTACGTCCTAGCTCATGGTTGTTTTTGTAATATAATTTTCTTTAAAATTAATAAGACTGTCGTCTCTTCTAGGCACAGGAAGACAAATGTTGCATGTTCTCACTTATATGTAGGAGCTAAAACAAAGTGATCTCGTGGAGGTAGTGAATAGAATGGTGGCTGCCAGAGGCTAGGAAGGGTAGTGGGGGTAAGGGGATAAAGTTACAAAATACAGTTAGATAGAAGGAATAACATCTAGTGTTTGGTAGCACAATAGGGCTACTATAGTTAAAAATAATTTATGACACATTTCAAAATAACTAGAAGAATAAATGTGGGATGTTTTCAGCACAAAGAAATGACAAATGTTTGTAGTAATTGGTGATGAATACCCTCAATTACCATTATGCATTGATCATTATATGTTGTATGCTTGTATCAAAATATCACATGTACCCCATAAATATGTAACTATTATGTATCCATAAAAATTAAAAAATTAGAAAGCAACTAATAGACTTACATCTCTTTGCTTACAATCAGTTGAATATGCCAGCTACCGCACCCACAGTTCTTTCTTAGACATAATTCTTAAAGTAGTACTATCTGTTTTTCTTCTCATCACCATTTATTTTTTTTTCAACTCAATGACATCTACCCCAAGGCCATAGGCTTGGGTTGAAGGCCTGGTTCAATTGGAATTTTGTCACATAATTATATCTTAAGACTGTTCATTATTTAATCTCAAAAATTACGTATTAATGTTTGAGGTAAGCATTCCCAACTTTTGAGGCTTAAAATTTCTGGATGCTTTCTTATTCCCTTTCATTTTTATGTGTACTTTGGATAATTCTTTCTTGTGGTCATTTCTCCTTCTAATATCTTGCCAAATAAAGCTAGTAACATCTAATGCATGCTCACATAATTCTATTTTACAATATCTTTTGCTACAGACACAGGCTAGGGAAGTTAGTGGCCTGCCTCCAAAGGTATCGTGGGCTTCATTGTTACTGAACATTTTGCCTCTGCTTAACTTGGGGTTTCATTTTTCCAGCCTCTGATATTAGTTTCCTAGTTATCTCCTGCCAGTGCCACCAATTTTAGGGTTTTGTTTTTGTTAGTGTCCATTCTTGGTACTAATTTCTATTTTAGTTATGATAACACCAATTAAAGCATCAGATAAACCTCCAAGTTTAAGTGGCTTAACATGTTAAGATGTTTGTTTCTTGCTCATGTAAAACTCCATAGAGGGTCTGGGGTTCTATTCTATGCATCCATTTAGCCATCCAAATTGGCAAAACTGTTGTATCCAATAGACAGTTTTTAAGGCACCAACATCCAGCCAGCAGATAGAACCCTTAGCTTCTTCTGACCTTCCTCTCCACCTATGCTGACATCTTAGGTGTCCTCTGGCTTTCAATATCATCTCCTTGCTGAAAAATCCCGAATCTTCTTTTATCGAACTCCACCTAGCCCCTGGATTTGTGTATGTAATTGCTTATACAACAACTCCACTTGGATGTCAATCAGGCATCATTAACTTAATATATTTGAAACCAAATGTTAACTTTTTCCCCCTAAAATTGCCACCCCTTAACGTGATCAATATTAATATTTGGGACTGTGATTTACCAGTTATTCAGCGTAGAAACCTGAAAGTATTTTTTGAATCTTTTTTTTTTAGTATCATATAGTACATAGAATCAAAAAACAAATCCTATCAGTGATACCTTCAAGAACATCTAGAATCCAGTCACTTCTCATAGCTCCATAGCCATCAGATTTTACTTGTTGTAGTGTAGTCATGATCTAACAGGTCTTCTTGTTTTCACTCCTGCCCTCTTAGAATGCATTTACCACACATGAGCCACAGCAATATTCTACAAAATAAAGAGACTACATTGCCCTTCTATGTATAAAACTGCAAAAACCAAAGGTTTCCCTGATCATTTATTTAAAGTACTTCATAGCATTTGTCATTATCTGACATTTCAGCCATTATGTTATACATTTTTTGTTTAATTTTCTGTCTTCTCAATGAAGAATGAATATCTATGTCATAGACTTTTCTTTATTCATGGCTGTCTTTATAACACCTAGGATGGTGCTTGCCACATGGGAGATGTTCTAGTAGTTTTGAATGAATAAATAAATGAATGAGCTACTTTTTATATCTTTTTGATGCTTTAGTCTTTTTATATCTATTTGTATGACTTTTTAATATTAACCAGATGTAATCATTATCTCATTAGTATTAAATGAAATCCTAAATTTTCCCTTTAGTTTACATGTCCATCTATCCAGCTAGCTAGCTAGCAATATAATAATAAGTAATTTCTTCTTCACAATATTTTCCATTATTCTTCACCTTAGAAATCCCTCCGCTCTCATGAGCCTGGCTATATTCTCATATATTCACCTAATGTCTTCTAATTCTTAGTCTAATTTTAGAGGAGCATGGTGACCAGTCTTCATCCAGATCTATTCTAGGATTCACAGTAAATTCTCCAGATCACAGAACTTACCTTCAGCAATACTCTTGCCTGAAGGTTTCTAAAAAGGCTTGCACTATGAATGCTTGTTACTGGAAGTAGGCAGGCCAGATCTCTTTCTCCCAGGGATCTCCAAAGAGGTACCAGGGGTGCTGCCTAGTGGCCCAATTCCTTCCTTCTTTGCCTGACTTCCTAACTGAAGGGAAGGAGACTCTTTCTAGAGCTGTCAGTATACTTTTCTTTCATTCAGCAGCTGCCAGACATAGTAGGAAACATATGATGTCTAAGTCATGTTCCTGGATTTTATGGAGTAAATTGAACGCTGTATTTTTAAGGAAAGTCTAGGAAAAAAATTTCCTTTTTTGAAATTCCACCAGATTCATCGATATTGTAAAGCCAGTGGTCCTGGTAGGGGTGTGTGTGTGTGTGTGTGTGTGTGTGGCTCTGCTTGTAGTTTTGCAGATTGAACGGTTTTGGAGAAACCATTTATCTCACAGTCATCAAATATTTATATAGTTATTGCAAAAGTTTCTAGCACATGACAATAAAGTGTCTTGTCTTTTGTCTTATGCTTGACCTACATGAAGTCACCATATGGGCTAGCCATTGGGGTTCTGTTGAGTTGGGTGTGGGGAAGGAGGGGAGAAAGAAAGCGGGAGTGATAGGCAGGTGGAGATTGAGGAGGGCAAGAGAGATTTGCCTTTCTGGGGATTTGAGGTTGTCCTGGATATGCAAGAGGATGGAGAAGTCAGACTTAAGGTATCTTGTGGAATTGTGGTAGAAAGGAGAGGAGGTCAAGCCTTGATTAAATTGAAACAGCAGAAACCAAAGCTTTTTTTGTAAGATTTTACTCTACTTAACTTTCGTAGTATTTCAAGTCTTTTTCTAAAGTGTGACAGAAAAATCACATTTTCTAAAATGTGATAGATCACTTTTTTTCACACTCCAGTATATTGTAAAAACACTGCTCTAATTTTTACTTTCAGAGAAATATTGTTAAACTCTTGCACCATAAAATTCAGAATCCCAGAGACTTATCAGTTTGAATAAGCCATGGGTTACTGAGGATAGGTGGTGTCTTGGGGAACTATGTAAGCCAGCCACAGAGCCTTGATTTAGGGGCTAAATCTTGGAGCAAACGAAAGGTGGACAGGCACAAATAGACTCAACATTACTTTTTACACTAAATTGCTTTCTTTTGGAAGGAAAAAAAGGCCATAATAAATATCCATTTCCAGGATTGTATCCAGCAACAGCAAGGACAAATTCCTGTAAGATTTGAGAGAAGTCCTATTCTTTTTTCATTTTTTTAATGAATTACTATCATAGTTCCTTTCTTACCTGTATATATTGACTCCAGAATGTTCCTATGATTCTTAAATTCCAAGCTGCTTTTTCTAAAATGTTGTTTTGTGTCTTAAATAAGAAAAAAATTCTAGGAATTAAGAATGTGATATTTCATCTTTGTCTAGAGACTACAAGGTTCAAATAAATTCAACTTTCCCTTTTTCCTTTCTCCTATATTTAAATATTTTAGCAATATTAATTTAGAAATGTCTAAATTTTTCTTTTTTTCCTTTTTTTTTTTTACTTCTCTTTCCCATGTTCTTTTTTTTTTTTTTATTATACTTTAAGTTTTAGGGTACATGTGCACATTGTGCAGGTTAGTTACATATGTATACATGTGCCATGCTGGTGCGCTGCACCCACTAACTCGTCGTCTAGCCTTAGGTATATCTCCCAATGCTATCCCTCCCCGCTCCCCCCACCCCACCACAGTCCCCAGAGTGTGATATTCCCCTTCATGTGTCCATGTGATCTCATTGTTCAATTCCCACCTATGAGTGAGAATATGCGGTGTTTGGTTTTTTGTTCTTGCGATAGTTTACTGAGAATGATGATTTCCAATTTCATCCATGTCCCTACAAAGGACATGAACTCATCATTTTTTATGGCTGCATAGTATTCCATGGTGTATATGTGCCACATTTTCTTAATCCAGTCTATCATTGTTGGACATTTGGGTTGGTTCCAAGTCTTTGCTATTGTGAATAATGCCACAATAAACATATGTGTGCATGTGTCTTTATAGCAGCATGATTTATAGTCATTTGGGTATATACCCAGTAATGGGATGGCTGGGTCAAATGGTATTTCTAGTTCTAGATCCCTGAGGAGTCGCCACACTGACTTCCACAATGGTTGAACTAGTTTACAGTCCCACCAACAGTGTAAAAGTGTTCCTATTTCTCCACATCCTCTCCAGCACCTGTTGTTTCCTGACTTTTTAATGATTGCCATTCTAACTGGTGTGAGATGATATCTCATAGTGGTTTTGATTTGCATTTCTCTGATGGCCAGTGATGATGAGCATTTTTTCATGTGTTTTTTGGCTGCATAAATGTCTTCTTTTGAGAAGTATCTGTTCATGTCCTTCGCCCACTTTTTGATGGGGTTGTTTGTTTTTTCTTGTAAATTTGTTTGAGTTCATTGTAGATTCTGGATATTAGCCCTTTGTCAGATGAGTAGGTTGCGAAAATTTTCTCCCATGTTGTAGGTTGCCTGTTCACTCTGATGGTAGTTTCTTTTGCTGTGCAGAAGCTCTTTAGTTTAATTAGATCCCATTTGTCAATTTTGGCTTTTGTTGCCATTGCTTTTGGTGTTTTGGACATGAAGTCCTTGCCCATGCCTATGTCCTGAATGGTAATGCCTAGGTTTTCTTCTAGGGTTTTTATGGTTTTAGGTCTAACGTTTAAATCTTTAATCCACCTTGAATTGATTTTTGTATAAGATGTAATGAAGGGATCCAGTTTCAGCTTTCTACATATGGCTAGCCAGTTTTCCCAGCACCATTTATTAAATAGGGAATCCTTTCCCCATTGCTTGTTTTTCTCAGGTTTGTCAAAGATCAGATAGTTGTAGGTATGCGGCGTTATTTCTGAGGGCTCTGTTCTGTTCCATTGATCTATATCTCTGTTTTGGTACCAGTACCATGCTGTTTTGGTTACTGTAGCCTTGTAGTATAGTTTGAAGTCAGGTAGTGTGATGCCTCCAGCTTTGTTCTTTTGGCTTAGGATTGACTTGGCGATGCGGGCTCTTTTTTGGTTCCATATGAACTTTAAAGTAGTTTTTTCCAATTCTGTGAAGAAAGTCATTGGTAGCTTGATGGGGATGGCATTGAATCTGTAAATTACCTTGGGCAGTATGGCCATTTTCACTGTAATTTATTTACATCCAATTTAGGGATTGATAGTAATACAGTAAAAATTTATTCTCACATTCACTCTACTATATTACTGATTATTCAAATAATTTCTAAGCTATGTCAATCATTGGCCTGGTGCAGGCTCTATAAAGATGACATAACATACATCTGTCTTTGAGGACCTTGTAGTCTTCCTGGTGAGACAGATTATCATGCATAAAACTTTCAATGATACTAGCTTTTTTTTTTTTTTTTTGAGACAAAATCTCACTCTTTCGCCCAGGCTGGAGTGCAGTGGCGTGATCTCGGCTCACTGCAACCTCTGCCTCCTGGGTTCAAGTGATTCTTGTGCCTCAGCCTCCTGAGTAGCTGGGATTACAGGCGTGTGCCACCACGCCTGGCTAATTTTTGTATTTTAGTTAGAGACGGGGTTTCACCATGTTGGCCAGGCAGGTCTCAAACTCCTGACCTCAGGTGATCCACCCAGCTCGGCCTCCCAAAGTGCTGAGATTACAGGCATGAACCACCACACCTGGCTGATACTAGCTTTTACAGAGTTACAAAGAAAATGGGATTGAGCACAAAGATAGGCTAACTATATGAGGAGTTCATGAAAGTCTCCTCAGAAGAGGTGACATTGGAACTGAGTCTTAAAAGATGAGTAGGCAGCTTCAGTTGATGAAGGTGAGAAAGAATATCCCAGGAGGGACAGCATGCTTCTTATTATGGCAAGTCTTTATTTATTTATTTTTTAAATTTAAAAAATATTTAAGTTTTATTTTAGGTTCAAGAGTACATGTGCAGATTCGTTATACAGGTAAATAGTGTGTCGTGGGGGTTTGGTGTACAGATTATTTTGTCACCCAGGTAATAAGCATAGTACCCAATAGGTAGCTTTTCGGTCCTCATTGTCCTTCCTCCCTCTACCCTCAAGTAGGCCCAGGTCTCTGTTGTTCCCTTCTTTGTGTCCATGTGTATTCAATGTTTAGCTACCACTTATAAGTTAGAACATGCGGTATTTGGCTTACTGTTCCTGTGTTCATTCGCTTAGAATAGTGGCCTCCATCTCCATTCATGTTGCAGCAAAGAACTTGATCTCATTCTTTTTCATAGCTGTGTAGTTTTCCATGGTGTACATGTACTACATTTGCTTTATCTGGCCTATCATTGGTGGGCATCTAGGTTAATTCCATATCTTTTTTTTTTTTTTTTTTTTTTGAGATGAAGTCTTGCTCTGTCATCAGGCTGGAGTGCAGTGGTGTGATCTCGGCTCACTGCAACCTCTGCCTTCTGTATTCAAGCAATTCTCCTGCCTCGGCCTCCTGAGTAGCTGGGACTATAGGCACACACCACTGCACTTGGCTAATTTTTGTATTTTTAGTAGCGACAGGGTTTCACCATGTTGGCCAGGATGGTCTCGATATATTGACCTCATGATCCGCCCCCGTCGGCCTCCCAAAGTGCTGGGATTTCAGGCCTGAGCCATTGCACCCGGCTGATTCCATATCTTTTATAGCAGATCTTGATGTGCTTAAAAATGATGAGGACTTTAGTATACTGGAATGAATTTAGAGGCATATTGGTGGCTTAATGGAAGTGGAGAGGAGTTTAGATAGAGTTACCAATGGGATAATAGGCCAGAAATAGATTGGAAGGGCCTTGAGAGCTAAAATAAGAAATTTGGGTCTAAATCTGAAAGGGATAGGAACCAAAAGGAATTTTAAAGCAAGTGGTTGACATGATCAAATTTAATAATTAGGGAAATAGCTAATGTCTTTCAATACCCTCTGACTTGGTCAGGGAGTTATGAGACAGGAAGCTATCTTAAAAAAACCCAGGCGAGATATTATAAAGTCCCAAAATATGACACAAAGGATGGGACAGAGGATTAGATTTAAGATATTTCTGCTACATATCCCAGAAAGAAATAGAATGTTTAGAATTTAAAGCATTTTAGGAGGGAGCATAAAGTGAGATAACATGTGAATTTCACACTGAGATTAAAAATTTACAACTGAACTTTAGATCTTACCAAGGGAACATATTTTAAATAGCCTTGAATTTTGGTCTGCTAAGTTATGTTTAAATGTTAGTAATGTTCAAGCAAGAAGAGTCTTTTCCTTCCAAAAAGAGTGCTAATGTACACTTTCACACCTCCTTAAATATCTACAGCATGAAACACCCTACGCAGACATATCTGGATTTCCTGGAGCTATCAGTGCCTTTTGTGTTGTGAGACAAAGGCAATCCAATAAAGACATGTCTGTTCCCCAAGTGCTCACCAAAGTCACGGCTCAGAGAGTGCGCATTACAGTTATGTCTTTTCTGGGTTTTATATTTTAAAGAATATGATAATAAAAAGGAAAAACAAGCTTCCTGGTAAACTGTATTTATAGCCTCATAGACTGTAAAGGTTTCAAAGTTTAAAGACACTTAGAGCAAATGTCTTCCTTTTTCAGCATTAGCCTTTTTCTCCAGCACCAAAAGTGTGGAAGGCAAAAGCCTGCGAAAGAGAGGAAGTAGTGTAAGACAGTGTGGGAGGTGTTCTAAGTCTGGGCTCATGATCCTCTAAAATACATGGGTCTTCAAGCCTGCAGACAAGCTACAGAAGCCCTTCCAGCACCGTGAAATTGTGGAGACAACTGTGGCAGATGCATGGATGGCCTTTTTTTTTTTTCTGGGGAAATACTTCATAGTTTTCATTAGAATCTACAGCCTTAAACCTTTGACTATATAATTGGACACGTACAACAAATGGCTATCATATAGATGAGTATATTATCAGAGCAAAAATAATGATTCAGATAAGTTCTTGCCACTTCAGAAGATACAATTAATTTGTCTCAATGGATATGAGAGTGATCTACTTAGTTATGGATATTTGCAAAGTTTGTTTAAATAGCTCCACAACTTTGGACATGCTTACCTCTCCCAGCCTTTTTTTTCCCCCATTACTATCTCCTAGGTTTGCTGTGACGTAATTTATGTAGACCAGTTTGCACAATCCTTGGAAAATGTCTTAATTATATATTTATGACAAATTTGGATATGACATTTGTTATACATCTGTATGCAGGGCAGCTTTAAATATAAAACTTAAGCTTAGTGAATTGTTAAAAATTAGTCATATTTCACTTATGATCATCTCCTCTTGGAAGCTGAAGAAAGAAGATCAAGTAATAAGGATGTTTATATTTTCTAAGTACTATTTTTAAGAAGTTAAATGTTAGTTTCTGGTGTCATGAATGAAGAATTGGAGCAAATGAGAAATTCCAGTATATGGCTTGCTTCGGAGTGAATGGCCAAAGTATTGTGATAAAGTCGCTAACCTTTGGGAGGATGTACAGCCGATAAGAGTCAGGCCCCATTTCCAATGAGCAGGCCCCATTCCTGATGACAAGAGTTTTAAGAACATACAGTAAAAAGATTGAACTCTGATCAAAGGCCACAGCTGCTACGCTCCGCATGCTGCTTGCTGGGTATGGAGTCAGCCCTGGAGCTCTAACCTGATTCTTCAGCTTTGGCAACACAAGCATTTGAAATGTGGGAGAAGGTGGGGCCTAGCATCATCAAGTCATAGTCTGAGAGGTCTTGGTCACTACCGTGACCTCCTTCACCAGCTCACCAGTCTGAGGGAGAAGCCCAGGCTGCCACAAGGCCTTGTCTTACAGGCAAATAATTAATTAAGATGGAAACTTATATGTCTACTGACCTCCAGTGATTAGGCCTCTGGTTCAGGAGCTGAGTTTTGAGGACTTACTTAAATTAGGAAGACTATGACAGTTGTCCTTCCTTTCTCCCAACCTCCGTCTTCCCCCCATTGTTCCTCTGGGTAGCTTAGAGGTCACCTGTGGAACATTTAATGGCCCTTTTATTTGATATTTTGGTACTTATATATGTCTATCTTCTCAGATAAGCTTTTCCTCTGACAGAAAAGATTTTAAAGACATTTTAGTAAAACAGAATAAAACAACCCAGGCATGAGACAAACTGATTATTAGTTGGAGATTTGGTTGGAAGATATTAGCTAGCCCTGAAGCAAAAACACAGTTTTCTTCATGCTTTTCTATAACAGTATTCATAAAGTTACATGTAAGTTGGACAGCTTATGGTTGAGCAGTGACTAAGAAGAGAAATTGGGCTGCAACAGAGAGCACAGGCATTGCTGCCAGCCAGACAGGGCTTGAGACCAAGCTACCGATTCTTAGCGATATAATGGTGAGCAATTTGCTTCACCTCTTGGAAATGTCCTCTTCGGGGAAATGGAGGTGATAATGCCTCAGCGGGTAGTTTTAAGAATTAAAGGTAAAATGTGCAAAGTGCCTGGCACCAGTGACTACCGAGTAAATTAAAAATATTTTATATTTCTTAGTGTTCATTTCTTGCTCTGCCTTAAAAAAACTGCACATCAAATACTTTATTCTTCTGCATGCAATGCATTTTTGTAAATCATCTATTGCACATAGTGTTAGGTGCTTGGAAACAAAGAGGAGTAATGCAGATCTTTGATATTCAAAGAAGTACTAGCTTAGCTGTGTTTGGGGTGCTTGTGTACATGTCCAAAGAGTGAAGCATAATAATTCCTTGTCTTTTTGAAAATTTTATCTAAACAAAATGAAATCAATGAATTAATATTTTTGGAGTGCGTAGGTGACATAGACGTTCATAGATGACTTTTACGTAGGATTAGAGGGTATAGAATTCTAAGCGGCTGAATCCTGAATTCTGACATACAACACTAGGGACTTATGGAAGCTAATCACATAAACATAGCTCCTTTATTTTTCCAATAATAGTTTAAAATTTTTCACGTTGGATTTTATCTGAAGTCAATCTGACTTGACTTCCAGGCCTTCCTCTCTTTTTTTTTTCTCCAAAACACCTGATGACTGAGTCCATCAAGTTCCCAAAATAGATTTACACATTTTTAAAAACAGATAATCAAGTTTTACTTTCATCTGTGGGTTTTTTTTTTTTTTCTCAAAGTCCAGGAAACTTTGTAACACCTGCTTTGCAAAATAAGCAAGTAATCATCTATTTTGGGGACGGAAAATAGAGGAGGTGAGAAATGAGTTAACTGGCTTCAACTCTTGTTATTTGGGCATGGAAATTATTTGTTCAGTGATTTTTGCCACAGCCATAGAACAACTTTTGCATTGCTTTGGTTTCTCCATATGCTTTGGAGAGACAGGAAAGAGAATATTGCACTAAAAATCTTGTTTCAGTTCAAGGTAATTATGCATATATTTAGGCTGAATAGGGAAGAGGCATTACTGAAATAAAAGTGTTTTTAATACAATTTGGAAGACATAAATTAACACATTGAGAGGAAAATGAATCAATAATTTTATTTTAGAACTGAAGGGGATTTTAGCGATCATCTTGTTTAACCGCCATGTTTACAGATGAATGAACTGTTATGTGTTTTGCCCACAGTAGGTCACACAAACAAAGGTGTCCTGACTTCTAGAATAGGCCTTTGTTCCTCTCTCACTGTAAATACATGACTATCCTGCAGAATGGCCTAGTAGATATTGTCATGTTGCTGTTCCTGGTTGGGAGGACTGGGTGCACGTACAAATAAAGTTTACATAATACCTGATACAGAAATCTTGGTGCCCTAAAGTAACTATTTAATGATGATGCCTTTGCTCTATTCAGACCAGCAAAATGAGCACACATTTCTGGCTCCATTTAATAAATTGCCTCCTTGAGGGCACTAAATCCTGCTCTTCAGGAAAAGCTCATTCACCTCACATGGGTAAACAGTTTGCTTCTTCATGAATTCTGCTGTTTACTCACAACAGTGGAAAGCCTGTTTTGTGTTATTGCCGTTATCACAAATCTGGAGACATCACTGCAGATTGGAATGAGGTGGCGGGAGACCGTTGCCTAAGTGGGTATTGTTCAGCACAGCTTAATAGAAAAGGTTGACCAAACATGTTAGAGTTACCATCGAATAAGTTTATTGGGGGAACCAGCCCCCAGTATTTCAACATAGGTTCTTTTCTATTTTCCCTAAGTGTCGGCCGGTCTGAGAAATAAACAGAAAGAGTACAAAAGAGAGAAATTTTACAGCTGGGTCTCCGGGGGTGACATCACATGTTGGCAGGTTCCGTGATGCCCACCTGAGCCGCAAAACCAGCAAGTTTTATTAGGGGTTTCAAAAGGGGAGGGGGTATGAATAGGGAGTGGGTCACAGAGATCACATGCTTCAAATGGAACTTATCTTTAGTAATGGAGAGCTTTTCAAATCTAGTTAATTTTGCCTTTCAAAGTCACTGTGAATGGGTGAAAAGTAAAATAGCTCATCCGTAGATCGTAAGTTAATATTGCTGAATTTTAAAAAATTTGATGAGTCAGAAAAATTTGCATTGGTATCATCTACATTCACTTTCTACCTTTAACTTCATTACTTTCCTTCACACATTGACCTGTGATTCCCCCAGAGGCAAAGTTTCAAGGTCAATTATGTGAAAGTAGTTTTAAAAGTGGCCAGTCCAGACATGGATTTGTGAAAAATAAAAATGGAGTTCAAGCAGTCAGAATTCTGTAGTATTCTTCACTCTTTTCTTTATTTTTCAAATAAAACTTTCTAAATATTGTAGCTCAAGATAGATTAATGATTCCAGTTTTTAAGTATATTTAAAGCTCAAGTTGTTGGATTTTTTAAAATTTTGACTCCTCCCTTTCTCTTTCTCTTTCTCCCTCCCTCCCTCCCTCCTTCCTTCCTTCCGTCTTCCTTCCTTCTTTCCTTCCCTCCTTCCTTTTTCCCTTCCTTCGTTCCTTTTTTCCTTTTTTCCTTCCTTCCTTCCTTCCCTTTCTCTTCCTTTCATTCTTTCTCTCTTTCTTTCTTCACAATATAGGTTAAAAAGGAATAGTAACAGATGATCATTTATACTCCTGTTGCTTCACTCTGAAGAATTCTTTGTTCTCCTTATCCATGCCTTAGCCAAAAGCTACAAATGAAAGAAAATTTCAACCCCATGTAAATTTTTTGGAACATCGTACCATATTGGTGGACGTAATACAGTTTCGAAGCATTAGGTCCTTGTTAAGAACAATTCATTAATATTTTTCTATTGGATCAGACTTACAGATAAGGTCTGCTTCTAATGATGTCATCAATAAGCGTTTCACATGGGAAATAATGGGAAATACATTGTGTTGTTGATTATATATATTCAGGGAGTTTTAGGTGAATTTAATAGTGAATTATTAGTGGAGCTGCCATTAACTATTTTAAAATATGTATGTATTCATGCAATTCTTTAATCCTTAAGGAGCATAACAGGACTGAATTATCCTTCTGTCCTAGTCTGTTTGGGCTGCTATAACAAAATACCATAGACTGGGTAGCTTATAAACAACAGGAGTCTGGGAAGTCCAAGATCAAGGCCAGCAGATTTGGTGTTTGATGAGGGCCTAGCTCACAGATGACATCTTCTACTGTGTCCACACATGGTAGAAGAAACAAGCTAGCTCTCCGTTTTTGTTTTTTTTCAATAAAGGCACTAATTTCATTCTAAAGACAGATCCCTTATTGCCTAGTCACCTCCCAAAGGCCCCACCTCCTAATACCATCACTTTGGGATTAGGATTTCAACATAGGAATTTTGGAAGGACACACACATTCAGACTATATACCACCTTCTTTTTAAATTTTTTATTATTTTACAGACAGGGTCTTGTTTTGTCACCCAGGCTGTTGTGCAGTGGCACAAACATAGTTCACTGCAGTCTTAAACTCCTGGGCTCAATACATCCTCCTGCCTCATTCTTCTGAGTAGCTGGGACTATAGGCACATGTTCCCATGCCTGGCTAATTTTTAAAGAAACATTTCTGCAGAGACAGGGTCTTGCTATGTTGCTCAGGCTGGTTTTGGATTCCTGATTTCAAGTGATCCTCCTGCCTTAGACTCCCAAAGCATTGGTGTTACAGTTGTGAGCCACTGCACCCAGCCCATAGCACTTTCTAATATTACTCTTCAGAATTTTAGAATCTTACTTATGACTGGCCTCGTCCTTGCCTTTTCAGATAGAAGAGTTATATTTTCAAAAACAACCCCAGCACACTGCAGTCTCACTATTACATAAGTAAATTCTTTGGTGTTTCCCTGGCCTCCCCCAGCTTCAGCATGGCCCCTAGTATAGGTGCGTCCCAAAAGAGTCAGGTTGTCCTCCAGGCCCAGAGAAACCAGGAATCTGTATAATGAGTGTATACTGTTTTGAATTTTGTTCCCATAACATTTCTCATTTCCTTCCTTCCTTCTTTCCTCCCTCCCTACCTCCCTCCCTCCCTCCTTCCTTCCTTCCTGTCTCCTTTCTTCCTGTCTTGCTTCCTTTTTTTTTTTTGTATTTTTGGTGGCAGTTGCAGTCCACTGGGATAGAGAAATAGGAAGAAAAGCGTTACGTAGAAATTAAGTATACAAACTAAAGCAACAGGAATTAAAAAACAAATAGGAATTCAATCACTACATATTTCTATTTCAAAACTGACAAAAGCTTTAGTTCTAAAAATGAAAAAAAGAGAGAGGACAGAAAGTACACGATGGGTACAAAATAAGTGAAATTTAAATTCCTTTATTTGCATTACATTTCCTTTAAACTTTTAAAAATGACTTTTTACCCTCCCCTTAAGATATCCAGCCTTGTTTCTTCTGACCAGCTCTCTTGGAGTTTTCCTGAAATGACACTCTCCTTGGCAATTATCCCCTGAGCCTTATCATCCCAATTTTAAAATCTCCATGTCAAGTTCTGAGAACTTCTAGCTTCTACTTTCTTTCTTCATCAATGAAAATTTTAATCAGACATTGTTACAGCTGTTTGGATGTTTATTTATCTAAAACCCTCTAAAGTTTGAGAGAAGAATCCCCTCCCCTCCCCAACCCTCCTCGCCCTACCCCTCCCTTCCCCCCCCTTCTTTCTTTTATTCTTAGCAAAGTGCCTAAATGTTTCCATCAGGAAGCGATGTGTGCACTGAGTACTAATTGCAAATGCTGTGTCCTTCACTTTTAGAATTGCTAGATAATATACTAAAAATTGGTTCATAAAATGCTTGTGCATAATATAACTTTAGGAACAATTCTGTCCATTTCTATCACTTATAGATGAAGAACTGCAACCTAGAGAAGATGGAAATGACTTCTTCATTTTGTGTTTGCTCTCTCCATGGGGGTTTTGAGGGGGAGCCCTGCCCTCGCAAACTGCCAGGTGTATACTGGACACACCAGTCATGAATCTAGATTCACTGGGAGGGAAGAATGATTACCAGTTTTTGCCATCTTGAGGGGTAAGAGTGCAATGATTTGGAGTCTCCTTGAGAGATTAATATGGGATGCTGACTACCCAGAAGAAGATCTAGGATAACATACACACAAACATTTATATATATACATGCGCATACGTACAGACATGTAAAAATATATACATGTTCTGATTTGTTAATATTCTTTGAAAGTAAACCAAATTAAAATTTCCAAATCCCCTGGTAAAAGTTCACTTGTAACATGATGAAAGGGGATATTCAGATAAGATTTTAGAACACCTTCTCTAGAACTAAAAAACAAAGCAAAACAAAATAAAATGATACTTCTCAAAAACTCCTTTGAAGCAGGTGTTCTTGTCAAATACTAAATCCATGACCAAGTATTTCAGTGTATGAGGATTCAGAAATATATATATATATATGAATATATATTTAAATGTTTCTTTATATGATTTAGTTTTCTCATAGCTTAGTTTTGTGTGTGTGTGTGTGTGTGTACGTGTGTGTTTTGCTACCACTTTATTCGGTGAATATATCCCACAGAAACAAAATCTGTCCACTTAGTTCATGAGTTTTTTGAAACATTTGATGTCTAAGTAACTTCATCCTTGGCAGAAATAACTTCCTGTTTTAAAAGAAAATAACTTAAAAGATCGTATAAGGAAGGCTCATAAGCCTTCTTGGAAATCAAACAGTTCTTACAAAACATTTTGATGTGTTTAGTACAGAGGAATTAGGAACATATGGGTTACATTTTCCTTAAAATGCATATGGTTTTTAAAAATTAAGGGGTAATGTTCTTGGCAAAATAGGTTTTGCCAAACCCAAACTGTTTAAAGAATTGTTCAAGATGTTCAGTCAGGCCAAAAGGCCCCAGGCTTCCACAGTCCTAATAATAGAATCAATCAGGAAAACCAGAATGAAGTCACTAAACTGATTTTAAGAGTCCCTTGAAATAACCAACCAAAATAAATCTCAATGTCGTAACAATCACAAGCAATTAGAATATAATAACTTTTATGCTTATGCCGAATAAAACCCCAAGCTAGTAGTTAAAATCGTTCTAGGAATTCTGGAAAGTTGGCAGTGTATTTTGTTTGACTAAAATAATTGATTACATCTATAAAAATGGCGAAGAGACTAGAAGGGATTTCACAGATAAAGCGCCTACCAGAAATAATTCAAGAATTTCACCATGGTTTCTCAAGGAATGGAGGTTGATACGCTTGTTTAAAACCCACACATTCTGTGGTAAAAAGGTGTATGTGGAGATGATAACCACAAAAATTTCATTACCCTGGTACTAAGCACTACTTCTCTTATCTGGAAAAGAGTCTATTAAGTCACTTAGTGATGGGCCCAGAGATGGTGAGATGAAATAGCCAGTAACATCAGACCAGAGGCTGTATATGTATATGGCATAAAGCAATTGGGTAATTGTTTCAAAAAGGAATCCAATCTCTGTATGGTAGTATTTGCTTCCCAACACTAATCTTTTTTTTTTTTTGAGACAGAGTTTTGCTCTTGTTGCCCAGGCTGGAGTGCAATGGTGCGATCTTGGCTCACTGCAACCTCCACCTCCCAGGTTCAAGCAATTCTCTTGTCTCAGCCTCCTGAGTAGCTGGGATTACAGGCATGCGCCACCACACCTGGCTAATTTTGTATTTTTGGTAGAGACAGGGTTTCTCCATGTTGGTCTGGCTGATCTCGAACTCCCGACCTCAGGTAATCTACCACCCTCAGCCTCCTGAAGTGCTGGGATTACAGGTGTGAGCCACCACACCCGGCCACACTAATCTATTTTGAAATGACATCACAGTCTCACACATAGTAGGGTTGGTAAAATTATCTTGGTTGGATTGGATTTGTTCTCATGAAAATATCTTCACATTCTTTTTCAAGATCTTCATTTTCTACTCATGACTTGCCTCTTGGCATTATGAGTAAGCCACTAGAGTTCCCTCTGTTGGTTGACTCCTTGGTGTTTTAACAAAAATTGCTGCAGGTAGTTAAATAATTTTTTAAAAAATCTTTTGTTCTTTTCTGACTCAGACTTTATATAATCACCTCCAGCTAAAGACAGAAACATTATGTCTACCAGTTGAGCCAATTGAGCCAATAACAAA
This sequence comes from Homo sapiens, assembly GCF_000001405.40. Classification (NCBI taxonomy): domain Eukaryota; kingdom Metazoa; phylum Chordata; class Mammalia; order Primates; family Hominidae; genus Homo; species Homo sapiens. The sequence continues at coordinate 8,579,552 of NC_000006.12, forward strand.
AGGGTTCTGGAATTCTTCCAGTTTCCTTTTCTCCCCTCCAGAGATTCCTGGCATTCTCTCCTGCTGAGCAGAATATGAATTACTAGACAATTTGGAACAAGGCGGTTCTGATCAGCAGACATTTGCATGGCTGTAGCATTTGTGGAGAGGCAAAGCACTCAAGGCAGTAGCAGCAGTGTTGCCCCTTCCTGTCTCACCAGCTCTCTAACAAACTATATGTTTTGCAACGGATGGGAGTAATGCATTTTAAGGATTTGGGAGGTTGTCCGGGTTGTGCATTAGGTGTTGTGGTTGTGATAATTATTGGGTGTATGCAGAGTTGGAGGCTGTTAGACTTACTTGCATCTAGATCTAAGCCCATAGGGGATTGTGTATGTGATGCTTAAGTGTGTGTGTGTGTGTGTGTGTGTGTGTGTATGAAGCTGGCTTTATCAGAATTACTGGGTGATGGTATGGAAGAAAGAGAGGCTCTCAAAGGGCACTAAAAAGGATACTGAAGCTATGAATGAATGTCTAAAAGTGATTGAAGATGAGTGATATGGTTTCACTGTCCAAAAATATCTAAAGGGAATTAGCCTTTACGTATCAAGGAAAAAATAGTTTAATTAGAACATTTCCAGAAGTCCCTCTCACAATCTTTTCACTCATGTTCATACATAAACCCAGGCTGGTTGATTCCTTTTTGTTTGTACATGCTTTCCAACTTGGTCCATGTAGTTCCCACCACTTTCCCCTCTGCACATTGCAGTCCTACTCTTCTTTCAAAGAACTGTTTGATCTCTATCTCCTATACGACAGTGGCTTTAAACATTTTGATCATGACCCACAATAAGAAATGCATTTTATATCAAGTCCCAGTGAATGCAAAATACATGCACACAGACATCTGAAACAAAAGCTTCATTAAATTATACATACATGGACTGTATTTGATACTTCTATCCTACAAAGCCTAGTCATAACTACCTAAAATAATTTCATGATCACCAATGGGTCTTTATCCACTGTTTGAAAAATACTTCTCTGTAAAGTTTTCCATGATGATTCCAACACGCTGATCCTTCATTTGTCTAAACTCATAGAAATTTTGTTGTTCTGACAACTTGTTGGGTACATATCAGTATACGACATTAATATATCTCCCTGTCCCCAATTAGGTTATCAGTCACTTGATGGAGGAGATTGTATGTTATATATTACTTTGTATTCTTCACAGTGTCTAATATAAAGGACACAAGTCCTTTCTAAGAAAAGAGTGCTGGGATTCTCTCTACAACTCACCAAAATATCTTCTGTCACATTTCCCATCTAAACTCTGAAATATAACCCAATTTTATTATTTGTGAATTTGGAATCAGAGCAGACTCTCATTCTCCTCAAATCCCCTGCTGTAATGGATGATATTTCTTCCTAGAGTTCTTAGTATTTTTCTGAGGGCCTTTAAAAAAATATAGAGCCAGAAATAAATAAGGTGAGGAGCATAGAACATATACATAATAGCCTAAATTCTTCTTTTTTTTTTTTTAGACAGAGTCTTGCTCTGTCACTCAGGCACTCAGGCAGTGGCACGGTCTCGGCTCACAGCAACCTCTGCCTCCTGGGCTTAAGCAATTCTCTTGTCTCAGACTCCCGAGTAGCTGGGACTACATGTGTGCACCACCATGGCCAGCTAATTTTTGTATTTTTAGTAGAGACGGGGTTTTGCCATGTTGGCCAAGCTAGTCTTGAACTCCTGACCTTAGGTGATCCACTCGCTAGGCCTTCCAAATTGTGGGATTACAATTGTGAACCACTGCACCCGGCCAATAGCCTAAATTCTTGAGTAGGAGTGGAGATAAGGGTAGGTTAGGCTAGTAGACTATTATGAGAAAGAAGAAGATGAGTTTTTCCAGTATGTTTTTTCCTCCATTACATTTGGAAAAGGTAAATAAGAAGTTTACTCAAGCTGTGTCTACCTATACAAAACTGTGAAGCCAGAATAAATGGAACCTCCCAGGGTACTGAAAGAAACCGAAGGAATCATTAGCTTGAAAGAGAAGTCTGCACTAGAAGGATCACCAGGACCCAAGCAGCAAAGAAGAGTGGTTGAAAGACTTGAAAGACAGGTTAAGTGTCGTCAGTGAGGCTGTGGTTATTAGGAAAATCAGGGTCAAGTTGTGACCCTGAGCTCATTGACCTCTTACAAAGAGGTAAAGGTGCTTCTTCTATAGCCAGTATATTTTTGAAGATTTGATTAAATACAAAAGATGATATCTTTGTGGCGAACAGGTTTACACATAAGAACACTGAGACTATGACTGAGACCTGTGTCTGGCAACTCATGACCACATTTCACCTAGTCCTGGTGAGGCAGTTTTGGTTATTCATTAAAAATAGTATCTGTGTTACTATTAATTGTTAATTAATCAGTAAAATCTGGCAAATGCTTGGGTCAAAAGTTTATACATACATTATTTTGAGACCAATTAATCTATGGTCTCAAAATAATGTACGTAGAAACTATTGACTCAAGCATTTGCTAGATTTTACTGATTAATTAAATTGGGTAGATTTGTTCATTCATTGGAAAATAGTGTTTGAGCAAGATAGAATTTGGGTATCTGAAAGGAAACCAAGACAGGTGATACCTTAGCGCCTACATGGAGCCGATCTTCTTCTTGGCATTCTTTTGGCTTTTGTAAATGAATTTCTTCTTTCTCAAGGCTCACGGTAGGATTTTAGTATTGACACCTGGACCTACGTTTGGCCACTTGATCATGATGTTGGAGGCTAAGCAGAGAATACCCTAGATCAATGCTCAAGTAGGAAATGCTCCTGATTGGGTGCTTTCTGGTACCCAATCCAAAGGTATGAACCAACTTAGAATCCAGGTTAGGCATTTACCAGCTGCCTGATTGAGCCTCTTTTTCTCATTCAGTAGAGAAGGGGTAATTCTCTTTGACCTATTTTATAGGGTTGCTGGGTTGAGATCATTTCTAAACTAGGAAGAGCTATATAAATATAAGATATTATAACACTTTAATATAATTAATTAGTGCCTTTTCATAAGCAATGCAGGTGAGCTAAAGTTATTTAAAACAAGGTGAAAGCCTCTCTTTAAGATCATTTTTGCATTTTATGAGTTCTTATAGAATCAACCTTACTATGATCCTAAACTTTTGTTCTCAGAAACATTCAAAATATTATAGCATGTAGCAGACTATATAAGTCATATCTGTGATATTAATATTTGTTAGGTTTACTATCTGGTGTGCCACTTTCCCTACTCAATCTTCTAAAAAAATATTAAATTACATTTTGATATGGTATCCCAGAGCAGTGTCTTTTTTTATTGTTGTTCATTTTTTGAGACAGGGTCTTGCTCTGTCACCCAGGCTGGAGTGCAGTGGCACAACCTTGGCTCACTGTAGCCTCCATCTTGAGCCATCCTCCCACCTCAGCCTCCTGAGTAGCTAGGACTACAGGCCCACACCATCATTTCCGGCTAATTTTTTTAGTTCTTAGGATCTCATTTTGTTGCCCAGGCTGGTCTCATACTCCTGGGCTCAATACTCCTGGTCTCATACTGCCTTGGCCTCCCAAAGTGCTGGAATGACTGGTGTGAGCAACTGCATCTGGCCAGAACAGTGACTTTTAAATGTACTTCTCCAAAGGGTGATGAGGAGGGGGTAAGAAAAACAACAATGTCTTGAATTATGAAAAATTTCAATGTCCAGATACTTGAGAAGATGTGGAAGAACTGTAGCACTATGCATTACTAGAATTAAAGTAATTATTTACATTAGATATATTAAAATATCATTATAAACCAGCTTGCTAAAATTATGAACTTAGTTATACATGAATTCTGTCCTTTTTTCAAACATAATTTTATTTTAAAACCCTAAAATGTTATGATCAAAATACTCATATTTCCTGACATCAGCATTATAACAGCTCTCAAGTCCTCCTAGTTGGGTAAAACAGTTAAGTCTTTGTGGCCTTGGTTGCCAGCTTGACAGATTCCATTTAACCAGGCCTGTCTTCTCATGCTTCTGCTTGGGCCAGCCAATCTGCTAATAAGGAAGAAGAGGAATTGAAAATATTGTTCAGTTTCTGTTCATGTATATTTTTAAGGATTGTCTGGGATTCTCAAGAACTCGAACACCATCCCAGGAAGTGAGCCCAAAGTAGGCTATGAACGATGGCAGTGTTTAGATTAAGAAAACGTTAAGTTCAGAATTTGAAGTCCTGGTTGCTTAAATCTTCATTTGCTACTTCTAGTTAAATGGATGAAATTAGCTCAAGGGACAAAGTTAAGGACTCCTGCCATTTTCTAGTTTGAGCCTCTGTTCTTTGATATGAGTTAGAAGTCTTTTAGCTGCAAGGGAATAAAACCCAACTTACGCTGGTTGAAGCAAAAAACAAGTGAAACCAGGGTGGGAAGGTAGTGGGGGGACTCACTGGCACCTGTCACTGAATTGTCAGGGACTACTCTGAATTCAGGCTTTACTAGATCCAAAGACGTGGGTAATAGTAAAAGTATCGGTAGTGATCTCTCGGTTACACTGGCTTCTGTGTGGTTTCATCTTTTCAGGCAGGCTCTCCTGATAAACTAGCAACATGGCTGCTCTTAATTCACATACTCCAAGCTTAGTAATTCTTAGCAGAAACAAAAAATTTCCTTGACAGGCCATTGATAGTTCCAGGATTCAATCGTGTGTGTGTGTGTGTGTGTGTGTGTGTGTGTGTGTGTGTGTGTGTGTGTGCATTTATTTTTTATTATACTTTAAGTTCTGGGATACATGTGCAGAACGTGCAGGTTTGGGGTTACATAGATATACACGTGTCACAGTGGTTTGCTGCACCCATCAACCTGTCATCTACATTAGGTATTTCTCCTAATGCTCTCCCTCCCCTAGCACCCCACCCCAAACAGGCCCCAGTGTGTGATGTTCCTCTCCCTGCGTCCATGTGTTCTCATTGTTCAACTCCCACTTACGGGTGAGAACATGTGGTGTTGGGTTTTCTGTTCCTGTGCTAGTTTGCTGAGAATGATGGTTTCCAGCTTCATCCATGTCCCTGCAAAGGACATGAACTAATCCTTTTTTATGGCTGTATAGTATTCCATGGTGTATCTGTGCCACATTTTCCTTATCCAGTCTATCATTGATGGGCATTTGGGTTGGCTCCAGGTTTTTGCTTTCATGAATAGTGCTGCAGTAAACATACGTGTTCATGTGTCTTTAGAGTAGAATGATTTATAATCCTTTGGGTATATACTCAATAATGGGATTGCTGGGTCAAATGGTATTTCTGGTTCTAGATCCTTGAGGAATCACCACACTGTCTTCCACAATGGTTGAACTAATTTACACTCCCACCAACAGTGTAAAAGCATTCCTATTTCTCCACATCCTCTCCAGCATCTGTTGTTTCCTAACTTTTTAATTCTAACTGGTGTGAGATGGTACCTCATTGTGGTTTTGATTTGCATTTCTCTAACGACCAGTGATGATGAGCTTTTTTCCCACATGTTTCTTGGCCGCATAAATGTCTTCTTTTGAGAAATGTCTATGCATGTCCTTTGCCCACTTTTTGATTGTTTTATTCTTACAAATTTGTTTAAGTTCTTTGTAGATTCTGGATATTAGCCCTTTGTCAGATGGATAGATTGCAAAAATTTTCTATAGGTTGCCTGTTCACTCTGATGACAGTTTCTTTTGCTGTGTGGAAGCTCCTTAGTTTAATTAGATCCCATTTGTCAATTTTGGCTTTTGCTGCCATTGCTTTTGGTGTTTTAGTCACGAAGTCTTTGCCCATGCCTCTGTCCTGAATGATATTGCCTAGGTTTTCTTCTAGGATTTTTATGGTTTTAGGTCTTACGTTTAAGTGTTTAATCCACCTTGAGTTAATTTTTGTATAAAGTATAAGGAAGCGGTCCAGTTTCAGTTTTCTGCATATGGCTAGCCAGTTTTCCCAACACCATTTATTAAAAAGGGAACCCTTTCCCCATTGCTTGTTTTTGCCAGGTTTGTCAAAGATCAGATGGTTGTAGATGTGTGACATTATTTTTGAGGCCTCTGTTCTGTTCCCTTGGTCTCTATATCTGTTTTGGTACCAGTACCATGCTGTTTTGGTTAATTTATCCTGTAGTATAGTTTGAGGTAAGGTATCGTGCTGCCTCCTGCTTTGTTGTTTTTGCTTAGGATTATCTTGGCTATATGGGCTCTTTTTTCGGTTCCATATAAAATTTAAAGTAGTTTTTTCTAACTCTGTGAAGAAAGTCAATGGTAGCTTGATAAGGATAGCATTGAATCTATAAATTACTTTGGGCAGTATGGCTATTTTCATGATATTGATTCTTCCTATCCATAAGCATGGAATGGTTTTCCATTTGTTTGTGTCCTCTCCTATTTCCTTGAGCAGTGGTTTGTAGTTCCCCTTGAAGAGGTCCTTCACATCACTTGTAAGTTGTAAAGACCAAACCTGCGTTTGACTGGTGTACCTGAAAGTGGTGGGGAGAATGGAACCAAGTTGGAAAACACTCTTCACAATATTATTCAGGAGAACTTCCCCAACCTAGCAAGACAGGCCAACATTCAAATTCAGGAAATACAGAGAACACCACAAAGATACTCCTTGAGAAGAGCAACCCCAAGACACATAATCATCAGATTCACCAAGGTTGAAATGAAGGAAAAAATGTTAAGGGCAGCCAGAGAGAAAGGGTGGGTTACCCATAAAGGGAAGCCCATCAGACTAAAGTAGATCTCTCTGCAGAAACCTTATGAGCCAGAAGAGAGAGGGGACCCATATTCAACATTCTTAAAGAAAATAATTTTCAACCCAGAATTTCATATCCAGCCAAACTAAGCTTCATAAGCAAAGGAAAAATAACATCCTTTATAGACAAGCAAATGCTGAGAGATTTTGTGACCACCAGGCATACCTTACAAGAGCTCCTGAAGGAAGCACTAAATATGAAAAGGAAAAACCGCTACCAGGCGCTGCAAAAACATACCAAATTCTAAAGACCATTGACACTCTGAGGAAACTGCATCAACTAATGGACAAAATAACCAGCTAGCATCATAATGACAGGATCAAATTCACATATAATAATATTAACCTTAAATATGTATGGGCTAAATGTCCCAATTGAAAGACACGGACCAGCAAATTGGATAAAGAGTCAAGACCCATCGGTGTGTTGTATTCAGGAGACCTATCTCACGTGCAAAGACACACATAGGCTCAAAATAAAGGGATGGAGGAATATTTACCAAGCAAATGGAAAGAAAGAAAAAGAAAAGCAGGGGTTGCAATCCTAGTCTCTGATAAAACAGACTCTAAACGAACAAAGATCAAAAAAGACAAAGAAGGGCATTACATAATGATAAAGGGATCAATGTAACAAGAAGAGCTACTATCCTAAATATATGTGCACCCAATACAGGAGCACCGAGATTCATAAAGCAAGTTCTTAGAGACCTACAAAGAGACTTAGACTCCCACACAATAATAGTGGGAGATTTTAACACCCCACTGTCAATATTAGATCAATGAGACAGAAAATTAAAAAGGATATTCAGGACTTAAACTCAGCTCTGGACCAAGTGGACCTAATAGACATCTACAGAACTCTCCACCCCAAATCAACAGAATATACATTCTTCTCAGCACCACATAGCACTTATTCTAAAATCAACCACATAATTAGAAGTAAAACACTCCTCAGCAAATGCAAAAGAACGGAAATCATAACAAACATTCTCTCTGACCACCTTGCTATCAAATTAGAACTCAGAATCAAGATACTCACTCAAAACTGCACAACTAAATGGAAACTGAACAACCTGCTCCTGAATGACTACTAGGTAAATAACAAAACTGAGGCAGAAATAAATAAGTTCTTTGAAACCAATGAGAACAAAGACACAACATACCAGAATATCTGGGACACAGCTAAATCAGTGTTTAGAGGAAAATTTGTAGCACTAAATGCCCACAGGAGAAAGTGAGAAAGATCTAAAATCGACATCCTAACATTACAATTAAGAGAACTAGAGAAGCAAGAGCAAACAAATTCAAAAGCTAGTAGAAGACAAGAAATAACTAAGATCAGAGCAGAACTGAAGGAGATAGAGACACAAAAGAAGTTAAAAAAATCAATGAATCCAGGAGCTGTTTTTTTTTGAAAAGATCAAGAAAATAGACTGCTAGCCAGTTTAATAAAGAAGAAAAAAGAGAAGAATCAAGTGGACACAATACAAAATGAAAAAAGGGATATCACCACTGATCCCACAGAAATATGAACTAACCGTCAGAGAATACTATAAACACCTCTACGCAAATAAACTAGAAAATCTAGAAGAAATGGATAAATTCCTGGACTCATATACCCTCCCAAGTCTAAACTAGGAAGAAGTCGAATCCCTGAATAGACCAATAACAAGTTCTGAAATTGAGGCAGTGATTAATAGCCTACCAACCAAAAAAAGCCCAGGACCAGACAGATTCACAGCCGAATTCTACCAGAGGTACAAAGAGGAGCTGGTACCATTCCTTCTGAAACTATTCTAAACAATAGAAAAAGAAGGACTCTTCCTTAACTCATTTTATGATGCCAGAATCATCCTGATACCAAAACCTGGCAGAGACACAACAACAAAAAAAAATTTCAGGCCAATATTCCATCAGTGCGAAAATCCTCAATAAAATACTGGCAAACAAAATCCAGCAGCACACCAGGATTCAATCTTACTGCTAAGACTTTATTCAGTGCCTGTCACCAAAGCAGTCCCTGTTGAGAGGGGATGGAATTTCTTGGCTGGGTGTGGCTTATGATTCCATATGGTTGGTGAGAGATAAGGGTGAGGATGGTAGTGGTGGTTGGGGAAGGGGTTTAGATGTCCAGAATCACAAGAACAGAGAAGGGCTAAGTCAAAGTACTATTACCAAAAAGAAGGATAGCCAGAGAGCAGAAAACAACAGATACTTACTGTGTGTGTTTGTAAGTTACTTTAAAAATAGTTTTTTCATAAATTGACTGTCTTCACATTTCTGTGAGTAGGATTATTTTTAAAAGACCAGAATTCAAGTGCCAATGCCATTTACTTGGATTCTCAGTTTGTTAAGAAAGTGAAAATGTTTTGGAAACCATAAAGTGCTATATTCATGAAAGTGACATATTTAAAAGTTTTTTAGTTCCTTCTCTGCTGTTAGTCATAATATGTCACTGTCATAAATGTAAATAATCATGAAAAAATAATACCACTCTCACGATTACCTGACACTTTACAGAAAAGGCTATTTCTATTTTTGAAACAGAAGAATGGTTATTAGAAGTGTCATGATAGTGTTAAAACAATTTAAAGGAGAAAAAGAATGAATCTTAGATCATGAAGTTACTTAATACCCTACAATATACTGCAAGGAAAAATCTTGCCTTTAAATCTCCTTTCTTATTCTAAGACTGAGACTTGAGTCACATGTATAAATTTGCCTTTTAGTGTTATAAAAGTATGTGAATAAGTACAAGTACAAACACATTAATATATAAAATAAATATAGAAAACCTATTATTGAATTTCAGCTATTTAGAGCATGTTATAGTTCTGTTAAATTTGGAAATTGAATATAGAGATAGTTGTGGAAACAAACATATGTTTCTCGATTTTTTTATTACCAGTGTTTTAAGAAGAAAAAATTGATCATAGCCCAATTCCCACTCTGTTAGTAGTTAGCTGTTACCTTGGATGAAGTCACCTCATCTCCTCAGGCCTAGTATCCTCATCTGGAAATTGAAGAAATTTAATTAAATGCTATATAAGGCTGCTTTCAGTTCTAAAATCCTGCAATTTATGCAAGTTTTGAAAATGCTAGGTCATAAAATATTATTTTTGGGAGGAAGTGAAGTAGGTAAACTGCCAATGGCAGAAGCACATATTTTAAATATTCCCTGCATCTAATATGGTTACTTGATTCTGTCCAAACTACTGTGAAAACGCACGTGATTGTGTAGCTATTTCTGTGACCTGCATATTAAAAGGTTTAAATTCTCAGATGTTCCAAGAGCAGCCGTGTGATTTCGAACAGGAAATTTGATTCAACTTTTCTTTCCAGAAGGAATGAAAGTCAAGGGTAGGTCGATAAGGATTACAATGGTGGGTACCTACTGTGATCAATTTGAAATGTTTCAAAAACACATGGTTGGTTATTTGAGAGCAATTTTATTGAACTGACCAGTCTGTGGCAAATTACTTCATGTTACCACGTACGCCAAATTCCTTGTCCCCTTTTTCTCTTGCCACCTTCCTCTCTCCTATTTTCTCTCTCCTATCTCTCCTATTCTATTTGCAGGAGAAATCTGCTCACTCCTTTAGTTATTTTCTTTTTTCACCATCTAATTGACTCTACATGCTGCTATCCAGGCACAGCCCTTTGAGAATGTTTCCCAACCAGAAAAGAAAACAATAATAGAAGTGGCTACAAAATATAATTTTTTCCCTGACTATTAATGCAGGAGGAAAAGGTCTAATGGGTTGCAGATTTCTTCCTATTTGAATAGCGTGACCGTGACCAATTAAAAAGGAACCCCTCAGCTGAAGTTGCATTTCCTTAGTTCCCCTCCATCAGGGCAGGGCCTGGGATCGGGTGAGGGCTGGCTGGTGTTCTATGGATGGAAAGAGGAATGATGTGCAAATGGGTAGAGGTTTCAGTGACAGGGAGGAGAGCAGAGTTCTTTAAACTATTATTAAGAATAAGGCAGCAAGACTCCAGTCACCCTGCTAACCATTAAATATTTTTGGCTGTCTGCCAGCATGTTTCAGTATTTCTTTGAAGCTTTCTTGTACTTATTGCAGTAGAGTAATTAAAGTGTACCTTTTCATCTTTACCTACACACGTACACACACACACACACACACACACACACAAACACACACACACACCAATCCATTTTACTCTGACATAGACTTGCTGCGGGCGGGGCTTGGGGGCCCAGAGGTTGGGGGAGATGCAAATTCTCTCTGGAGCCCTCCTGAGACCTAGGAATGAACTGCACCTAGGAAACGTCTCAGGGCTGGGGCTGCAGCACTGATTCTTTTGAGCTCTTTGGTTTCTGCATCTCTCCCTTTAAAATATTTCTCTAATACATCCAAAGATGTTTCATAGGTGGTTGGGAGCTAGATTTTACAAAGAAGCTGCACCCCTGTGGCATTTAAAAATGTACACCTTGGTGGCCAGATAGGCAGCTGAAATTTCTGCTTCCCAATTTGGTATTTTAGCCTTTTACCTGATCAAATGATATTTCTTTTGGAAAGATAAAATTGAACCATATATATATATATATATGGTTATAAATATATAAATATATATAATAGAAATATATATTTATAAATATATGGTTCAATTTTATCTTTCCAAAAGAAGCATCATTTGATCAGATAAAAGCCTAAAATACCAAACTATATATATATAATATATAACATGTAACAAATATATAATATATAATATATATTCAATTGCTTAGAAACCTCTCTCAAAATATGGTCTTTACCATAATTACATTGATAATATTAATTTTTTAAAACCCAAGAATGTTTTTCCTTTTATCTCTCCTTTCTCTCCAGTCAACTAAAAATACTTACACCATCACCACCTCCACCACCACAAAAACAGTAAGAAAATACTGAAAACCCAAAGGTTGTTTTCTCTTAGGATATTTCAACTTCAGTATTAACAATTACTATGGTGTTGTTTTCTAATGTTTGGGTTTAATTCAATCAGTAGTCCTTCTGAGGAAGATTGAAAAAAAAAACAAAGATATTGAAGACAAAGCAAATTGTGTAGAGAGGAATATGATTTTTTCCTTATATGATCTTACAGATTTTATTATACTTGTCCTTTTACGTATGGTCTGTAATAAAATAATGTTGATCCTTAAATAAATTCTATATAATAGCGACAAAGCTGACTTTCATCATTAGTTGGGATAATCAGATCCACATTAATTACTATTGTTGTTCCAAGAAGAAATTTGAGTTCAGCATATCTCATGGCAAGAGAGGATGCCATCTTTTGCTCTGAAGGAGAAATTCTTGCCTTCTCTCCACCCCCATGTGTATTCAGGTGTGTAAGAAATGGTCTGATCGTCTTACACAAATAAATATGTAAAGTACAAGGTCTATTTTGGTGGATGGGAAATAGACCAAAGGAGAAGATAGGAGGAAATCCCAGAACTGTAACTCTTAGATTCCTTACAAAACTATTGCCAACTTTCTACAGAGTCTCCAGGTGTTCTAAGGTGGCGATGTTTTAATAGAATACATTATACCTGTAAAAATTTGCCTTAAAAGGCAAGTTACAGTACTTTTGTTTTGGTAACTGTAAGTGTTGGATTTTCCACTGGCAGGTGAAGGGACACTTTGCAGGGGTGGGCTGCAGGCACAGTGCCAGCATGCCAACTTCTGGCAGCTGGCTGGAAATTGATATGTTTTTATGGACATGTTCATTAATTCTAATTTTCTCTGGTACCTGAACCACTAAATTTGTGGCTTTCAAATATCCAAGAGGGTTGATTATAATCTTTAAGGTCTCTTCCAGCATCATGGCATTGATGAGATAAGGGAGATGGTTTCATTTTGAGGGCTGGATTGTCCTGATAATGACTCTACCTTAATTGCCTTCATGAGTTACAGGATCAAGACCTTGGTGGAGGACTCAGACCACGTGAGAGCAGACACTGTATATCGCTGCATAAGTAACATTTGGATGCAGTGGGTGGAGTTTGTGAATTTCTACGCTGTGCTTGATTCTGACCCCTCAGGGTACCAAGAAGCAGTTCACAATCAGAAATGTCAAGACTAATCCAATATTTAGAAAAACCTAAAGACTTAAGCAAAAACCTGTCAGAACTGATAAAAAAATTCGGTAAAATTGCAGGGTACAAAATCAACATGCAAAAATCAGCAACATTTCTATACACCAGTAGCATTCTTATGCAGCAACAGCAAATAATCTGAAAAAGAAAGTAAGAAAGCAGTCTTATTTACAGTAGCTACAAAAAACTTAAAATACTTAGGAATAAATTTAACCAAAGAAGTGAAAGATCTCTGCAATTAAACTATAAAACACTGATGAAAGAAATTGAAGAAGACACACAAAAAAATGGAAAGATATCCTATGCTAATGTATTGGAAGAAATAATATTGTGTAAAATGTCCATACTACCCCAAATGATCTCCAGATTCAATGCAATCTTCATCAAAACACCAAAGACAATCTTCAAAGGAATAGAAAAAAACAATCATAAAGTTTGTATGGAATCACAAAAGACCCCAAATAGCCAAAGTATCCTGAGCACAAAGAACAAAGGTAGAGGGATCACATTACCAGACTTCAAAACATACTACAAAGCTATAGTAACCAAAACAGCATGGTGCTGGCATAAAAACAGACACATAGATTAATGGAACAGAATAGAGAACCCAGAAATAAATCTACACATTTATAGCCAACTCATTTTTGACAAGGGCACCATGAAATTTTATTGGGATAAGGACAATCCCTTCAATAGATGGTTCTGGGAAAACTAAATATCCATAAGCAGAAGAATGAAACTAGACCCCTATCTCTTACCATATAAAAATCAAATAAAAATGGATTAAAGATTTAAGTGCAAAACCCAAAACTATAAAAAACCTAGAAGAAAACACTGGGGAAATGCTTCAGGACATTGGTCTGGGAAAAGACTTTCTGGGTGGGACCTCAAAAGCACAGGCAACAAAAGCAAGAATTGACAAATGGGATTGCCTCAAGCTAAAAAGTTTTTATACAACAAAGGAAACAGTAAACAGAATGGACAGACAACTGACAGAATGGGAGAAAATATTTGCAAACTGTCTATCTGACAGGAGATTAATAACCAGAATGTATAAGGAACTCAAACAACTTAATAGCCAAAACACAAATAATCAGAATTTTTAAAAAAATGGACAAAAGTATGAATAGACATTTTTCAAAAGAAGACATTCAAATGCCAACAGGTATATGAAAAATGCACGACTTCAATAATTATCAGGAAAACGCAAAGTAAAACCACAGTGAGATATCATCTCATCCTAGTTAAAATGGCCACTATAAAAAAGACAAAAAAAATTCTGATGAGGGTTTGGAGAAATGGGAATGTTACTACACTGTAGGAATGTGACTTAGTACAGCCACTATGGAAAACAGGGTGAAGGTTTCTCAAAAAACTAAAAATAGAGCTACTGTATGATCCAGCAATCCTATTGCGTGGTACAGTGTCAAAAGAAAGGAAATCAGTATACTGAAGAGATATCTGTACTCACATGTTTCTTGCAGCACAATTCACAATAGCTAAGATATAGAACCTTCTTAAGTGTCCATCAGCAGATGAATGGATAAGCAAATGTGATATATATACACAATGGAATATTATTCAGCCATAAAAAATTCTATCATTTGCAGCAACACAGATGGAACTGGGGGACATTCTGTTACGTGAAATAAGTCAAGAACAGAAAGATAAATTATCACATGTTCTCATTTAGATGTGGGAGCTAAAAATGTTGATCTCATGAAGGTAGAGAGTAGAATAATGGTTACCAGAGGTTGAGAAGGGTAGGGGGAAGAGAGAATGAAGAGAGGTTGGTTAATGGGTGCAAAAATACAGTTTGATAGAAGGAATAAGTTTTAGTGTTTGATAGCACAGTAGGGTGACAGTAGTTAACAATAATTTATTATATATTTCAAAATAGCTAGAAGAGTGGATTTGGAATGTTCCCAACACAAAGCAATGATTGATTAATATTTGAGGTGATGGATATCAAATTATGCTCATTTGATCATTACACATTGTATGCATGTATCAAAATATCACTTGTACCCCACAAACATGAACAATTATGTATCAGTAAAAAAGTAAAGTCATGATAAGCAGTATTTTTTTAATGTTTAACTTACACGAAGAAAACCACCACCACAAAAACATTGTTTTTAACAAAACAAAATCAAAACAGCATTCAGTTGCCAACCTTGGAATATGTTTATACTTTAAAATTATTTTAGTTAATATTTACTTTTACTCAACAAAAATACTACAGCATTAACACTTTTTGGGACAAAAAAATAGCTTCAAAGGTGATGTTTTGTCCACTAAAATATTCCATTAAAAGTTTGATTTTTGCAGGGCGTGGTGGCTCACGCTTGTAATCCCAACACTTTGGGAGGCCGATCATTTGAGTACAGGAGTTTGAGACCAGTCTGGGCAACACAGTGAAACCCCATCTCTACAAAAAAAAAAAAAAAAAAAAAAAAAAAAAAGTCTCCCTGCCCAAAAAAAAGAGAATTTGCCAGGCATGGTGGTGTGCACCTCTAGTCCCAGCTACTCGGAAAGCTGAAGTGGGAGGATCACTTGAGCCTGGGAGGTCAAGGCTGCAGTAAGCCAAGATAGCACCACTGCGCTCCAACCTGGGCAAAAGAGCAAGACCCTTTCTCAAAAAAAGAGAAATGTTTGATTTTCATAATTTTGAGTAAATTCAGAACCATCTGGAGTGTAGCTATGTCAATGTTTTCTATTAAAATTACATGAACAGAACAGATACCTTAAACACTAAACTCAAGGATACTTATCTAGTAAGTGGATAGTCTGGAACTCAGATTCAGCCCGCTGATTTTAAAACCAACTTTCTTACACCAAAATATGTGTGTGTCTAGATGTGTGTACAGTACTGTATATTGTATACTTCTGCTGCTGATGTTGTTGGGCTAACATTTTATTTTGTATTTTTTTGCATTTCTGTTTATGTGTGAGATTGATGTAAACTTTCTTCTCGATTGATAACAAGTTTACATAAGGCAACTAAGGGTTTTCTGGGTGATCTGTTGCTTATTAGTGATCTATTAAATTCATTTTGACTCTAACACTGTATTTACCATTTGTTCCTAAGGTTTACATTTTCCCGTACTCTTTTTTTAGCTTTTGACCTAAACATTTTACTACTCTTTTCCCTCAGTTTTTCTTTTTGTTTTTAAATGAACACTTTTAAGACCACAAATTTAATACTAGGTATTACTTTTGCTACATTCTACAGTTTTAAATATGTTACTTTTATCATTTTCATGTTACTTTCATTGTTTGGTTTTATTTATTTCAAGTGTGTTTTATAATTTTTATTGTGTTTTTTTAAGCTAATGAGTTATTTAAACATCCCTGTCTAAATTTCCAAGTAAATGACGAACCTTATTTATTGTTGAATTCTATTTTGTGTTTCTTTTTCTGAGAATATGACCTTTGTGATACTGGTTTTTTAAAAAAATTTATGTTTTAATTTAAGACCCACTATGTGGGTCAAATATTTTATAAATGTTCCATATGGGCTTGATACTAACGCATATTTTAATGATTAATTCAGAATATTTAAATATAAATTATACATTTTTATCACAGAGAAATCATATATTATCAGGTTTATGATTTTGTTCTGCAAATCCTCTTATTTTTTAATAAATTTTTTTCTGTTTCTGAGACAAATAAACTATCCAAACAATGATTTTTTTGTGATTTTTTAAACAATTCTATTAGTTTTTTTAATGTTTTTAAAAGTCAAGTTGTTAAATGCATGAAGTATATAATATTGTTTTTTCTAGTAATGTAATATTACTTGTTTTGCTGTAATATTACTTGTTTATTAATTTGTCTGACTTCAAATAATACTTCAATGATTTTATAATATAGTTAGAAAATATATTATAGTTAGCCAATAGTTATAGTTAATTAGGTTTAATTAGGATTTGCTGCATAATTTTTTTCTATTCTTTTATTTTTTGTCTTTCTGATTCTGTTTTAAATTGGGTTTTGAATATTTAATGCAATCTGATAATCTGATCATGGATTTACTTTGTTTACATTTATTCTGATATATTTGGATTTGTCTCATTTATTTTTCCTTTTTTCTTCCTTTTCTTCCCTCCTTTTTCTGACTTGCATTAGTTTGATAAAGGTTATATATTTTCTTTTCCCCCATCTTGTAATAATTTAAAGCCATTCTTTGTATCTGTATTAAATTTTACTTTTATTTTATTATTTACCTTTAATTTTTAGTACATATACTTAGTTATAAAATCTTCTAAAAATTCCAAAATTATTCAATCACCTATCAAACACAAAAAAGGATCTTGGCTTTTTTTTTTTCGCTGTCTAATAAACAACTTCCATTTTACATTGCTATTTCCAACTTTATTTTATTTATTAATTTTTTTGAAGTTTAGTTCTGTGGTGCTTTTTAAATTTTATTTTTTTTATTTTTCCATAAGTTATTGGAGTACAGATGGTATTTGGTTACATGAGTAAGTTCTTTAGTGGTGATTTGTGAGATTTTGGTGCATCCATCACCTGAACAGTATACACTGCACCATATTTGTAGTCTTTTACCCCTCTGCCTCCCACTCTTCCTCCCAAGTCCCCAGAGTCCATTGTATCTTTCTTATGCTTGGCACCCTTATGGCTTAGCTCCCACTTATTAGTGAGAACATACAATGTTTGGCTTCCCATTCCTGAGTTACTTCACTTAGAGTAATAGTCTCCAATCTCCTCCATGTCACTGCAAATGCTGTCAATTCATTCCTTTTCATGGCTGAGTAGTATTCCATCATATATTTATATATGTGTATATATACACATATGTATATGTATATATGTGTGTATATATACACATATGTATATGTATATATGTGTGTATATGTATACACACACACACAGACACACACATACACACACACACCACAGTTTCTTTATCCACTCATTGATTGATGGGCATTTGGGTTGGTTCCATGATTTTGCAATTGTGAATTGTGCTGCTATAAACATGCATGCACATTATCTTTTTCGTATATTGACTTCTTTTCTTCTGGGTAGATACCCAGTAGTGGGATTGCTGGATCAAATGATAGTTCTACTTTTAGTTCTTTAAGGAATCTCCACAGTTTTTATAGCAGCTGTATTAGTTTACATTCCCACCAGCAGTATAGAAGTGTTCCCTGATCACTGCATCCATGCCAACATCTACCATTTTTTTATTTTTTTGATTATGGCCATTCTTGCAGGAGTAAGGTGGTATCGCATTGTAGTTTTGATTTGCATTTCTCTGATCATTAGTGATGTTGAGCATTTTGTCATATGTTTGTTGGCCATTTGTATATCTTCTCTTGAGAATTGTCTATTCACGTCCTTAGCCCACTTTTTGATGGGATTGTTTGTTTTTTTTCTTACTGATTTGAGTTCGTTGTAGATTCTGATTATTAGTCCTTTGTCAGATGTATAGATTGCGAAGATTTTCTCCCACTCTGTGGATTCTCTGTTTACTCTGCTGTTTCTTTTGCCTTGCAAAAGTCTTTAGTTTCATTAAGTCCCAACTATTTATCTTTGTTTTTATTGCATTTGCTTTTGGGTTCTTGATCATGAAATCCTTGCCTAAGCCAATGTCTTCAAGGTTTTTCCAATGTTATCTTCTAGAATTTTTAGTTTCAGGTCTTAGATTTAAATCCTTAATCCATCTTGAGTTGATTTTTGTATAAGGTGAAAGGTGAGGATCCAGTTTCATTTTCCTGCATGTGGCTAGCCAATTATCTCAGCACCATCTGTTGAAAAGGGTGTACTTTCCCTTCATGTTTTTGTTTGCTTTGTCCAAGGTCAATTGGCTGTAAATATTTGAGTTTATTTCTGAGTTCTCTATTCTGTTCCATTGGTCTATGTGCCTATTTTTATACCAGTACCATGCTGTTTTGGTGACTATGGCCTTATAGTATAGTTTGAAATCAGATAGTGTGATGCCTCCAGGTTTGTTCTTTTTGTTTAGTTTTGCTTTGGCTCTGCGGGCTCTTTTTTGATTCCATATGAATTTCAGAATTGCTTTTTTTCTAATTCTGTGAGGAATGATGGTGGTATTATGATGGGGATTGCATTGAATTTTTAGATTGCTTTTGGCGGTATGGTCATTTTCACAATATTGATTCTACCCATCCATGAGCATGGGATGTGTTTCCATTTTTTTGTGTCATCTCTGATTTCTTTCAGCAGGGTTCCATAGTTTTCCTTGTAGAGGTCTTTTGACGCCTTTGTTAAGATATATTCCTAAGTATTTTTTTTTTTTTTTTGCAGCTATTGTAAAAGGGGTTGAGTTATTGATTTGATTCTCCACTTGGTTGCTGTTGGTGTATAGAACTACTACTGATTTGTGTACATTATTCTTGTATCTGGAAACTTTGCTGATTTCTTTATCAGTTGTATGAGCTTTCTGGAGGAGTCTTTAGGGTTTTCAAGGTAGATGATCATATCGTCAGCAAACAGTGACAGTTTGACTTCCTCTTTACCAATTTGGATCCCTTTTATTTCTTTCTTTTGTCTGATTGCTCTGGCTAGGACTTCCAGTACTATGTCGAAAAGGAGTGGTGAGAGTGGACATCCTTGCCTTGTTCCAGTTCTCAGAGGGAATGCTTTCAACTTTTCCTTATTCAATATAAATTTGGCCATGGGTTTGTCATAGATACCTTTTATTACATTGAGGTATGTCCCTTGTATGCCACTTTTGCTGAGAGTTTTAATCATAAAGCGATGCTGGATTTCGTCAAATGTTTTTTCTGCATCTATTGAGATGATCATGTGATTTTTGTTGTTTTTAATTCTGTTTATGTGGTGTATCACGTTTTTTGACTTGCATATGTTAAACCCTCCCTGTATCCCTGGTATGAAACCCACTTGATCATGGTGGATTATCTTTTTGATATGTTGTTGGATTCAGTTAGCTAGTATCTTGCTAAGGATTTTAGCGTCTATGTTCATCAAGGATATCAGTCTGTAGTTTTTTTTTTTGGTTATGTCCTTTCCTGGTTTTGGTATTAGGGTGATGCTGGCTTCATAGAATAAATTATGGAGGGTTCCTTCTTTCTCTATCTTATGGAATAGTGTCAAAAGGATTGGTACCAATTCTTTGAATGTCTTGTAGAATTCTGCTGTGAATCCGTCTGGTCCTGGACATTTTTTTTGTTGGTAATTTTAAAATTACAATTTCAATCTTGCTGTTTGTTGTTGGTCTGTTCACGGTATCCAATTCTTCCTAATTTATGCTAGGAGGGTTGTATTTTTCCAGAAATTTATCCATCTCTTCTACGTTTTCTAGTTTATGTGCATAAAGGTGTTCATAGTAGCATTGAATGATCTTTTGTGTTTCAGTGGTGTCAGTTGTAATATCTCGTGTTTCGTTTCTTAATGAGGTTATTTGAATTTTCTCTCTTCTTGGTTAGTCTTGCTAATGGTCTGTCAGTTTTATCTTTTCAAAGAACCAGCTTTTTGGTTCATTTATCTCATATATATATATGAGATAGATATATGAAATATATATATATAAATATATTAAAAATATATATAAATATATATATTTTTATAAATATATTTTTTAAAAATATATATATTTTTATATAAATATAAAAAATATATATATAAAAAGATTGTTTGTTTGTTTGTTTCAATTTCATTTAATTCTGCTCTGGGTTTGATTTGTTCTTGTTTCTCTAGTTCCATGAGGTGTGACCTTAGAGTGTCAGTGTGTGCTCTTTCAGTCTTTTTGATGTAGGCATTTAGGGCTATGAACTTTCCGCTTAGCACCGCCTTTGCTGTATCCCAGGTGTTTTGATAGGTTGTGTCATTATTGTTGTTCAGTTCAAAGAATTTTTAAATTTCCATCTTGATTTTGTTTTTGACCCAATGCTCATTCAGGAGCAGGTTATTTAATTTAGGTGTATTTGCATGGTTTTGAAGATTCATTTCAGAGTTCATTTCCAGTTTTATTCCACTGTGGTCTGAGAGAGTGCTTGATATAATTTCAATTTTCTTAAATTTACTGAAGCTTGTTTTATGGCCTATCATATGGTCTATCTTGGAGAAAGTTCCATGTGCTATTCAATAGAATGTATATTTTGCCGTTGTTGGATGAAATGTTCTGTATATATCTGTTAAGTCCATTTGTTCCAAGGTGTAGTTTAAATCCATCATTTCTTTGTTGACTTTCTGTCCTGATGACCTGTCTAGTGCTGTCAGTGGAGTATTGAGATCCCCCACTATTATCGTGTTGCTGTCTATCTCATTGCTTAGGTCCATTAGTAATTGTTTTATAAATTTGGGAGCTCCAGTGTTAGGTGCATATATGTTTAGAATTGTGATATTTCCCTGTTGGACAAGGCCTTTTACCATTATATAATGTCCCTCTTTGTCTCTTTTAACTGCTGTTGCTTTAAAGCTTCTTTTGTCTGATATAAAAATACCTACCCCTGCTTGCTTTTGGTGTCCATTTGCATGAAATGCCTTTTTCAACCCCTGTACTTTAAGTTTATGTGAGTCCTTACATGTTAGCTGAGTCTCCTGAAGGCAGCAGATGGTTGGTGAGTTCTTATCCCTTCTACTGTTCTGTATCTTTTAAGTGGAGCATTTAGGCAATTTACATTCAATGTTAGTATTGAGATGTGAGGTACCATTCCGTTCATCATGCTATTTGTTGCCTGTGTACTTTTGTTTGTTGGTTTTTGTTTTTGCTTTTTAACTTTTATTTTTGTTTTATAGGTCCTGTGTGATTTAAGCTTTAAAGAGGTTCTGTTTTGATAATTTTCCAGGATTTGTTTCAAGATTTAGAGCTCCTTTTAGCAGTTCTTGTAGTGGTGGCTTGGTACTGTTGAATTCTCTCAGCATTTGTTTGTCTGCAAAAGACTTTATCTTTCCTTCATATATGATGCTTAGTTTCACTGGATACAAAATTCTTGGCTGATAATTGTTTGAGGAGGCTGAAGATAGGTCCCCAATCCCTTCTTTCTTGTAGGGTTTCTGCTGAGAAATCTGCTGTTAATCTCATAGGTTTCCCTTTATAGTTTACCTGGTACTTCTGTCTCACAGCTCTTAAGATTCTTTCCTTCACCTTAACTTTGGATAACCTGATGACAGCGTGCCTAGGCGATAATCTTTTTGCGATGAATTTTCCAGGTGTTCTCTGTGCTTCTTGTATTTGTATGTCTAGGTCTGTAGTAAGACCAGGGAAATTTTCCTCAATTATTCTCCCAAATATGTTTTCCAAGCTTTTAGAACTGTCTTCTTCCTCAGGAACACTGATTATTCTTAAGTTTGGTTGTTTAACATTATCCCAGACTTCTTGGAGGCTTTGTTCATATATTCTTATTCTTTTTTCTTTGTCTTTGTTGGATTGGGTTAATTCAGAGATCTTGTCTTTGTTCTCTGAATTTCTTTCTTCTACTTGTTCAAGCCTATCGCTGAGACTTTCCAGAGCATTTTGCATTTCTCTAATTGGGTCCAGTGTTTCTTGAATTTTTGATTGTTTTTTCTTTAAGCTCTCTATTTCCTTGAATATTTCTCCGTTCACTTCTGGTATTGTTTTTTGGATTTCCTTGCATTGGGCTTTGCCTTTCTCTGGTGCCTCCCCGATTAGCTTAATAACTAACCTCCTGAGAGACCCATAGATGGTTCACATCACAGGTCTCTGAGCAGACAACCCCCAGTACCAGCCTGGAAATGTGTAGACTTGCTGAGTGGTTAGACCCAGAAGAGAGACAACAACAATCGTTGCAGTTTGGCTCATAGGAAACCACATCAATAGGAAAAGCGGGGAGACTGCAAGAACAAACCAGCAATCCCAAGAGGACCCAAGATTATATGACCTTTGTCTTCAGCTACCAGGGTGGATAGGGAAGGACCATCAAGTGGGGGCAGGGCTAGGTGTTTCTGAGCTCAGGCTCTCCTTGGGTGGGTCTTGATGCAGTTGCTGTGGGGATGGGAGTGAGATTCCCAGGTCACTGGAGTTGTGTACCTAGGAGGATTATGGCCGCCTCTGCTGAGTCATGCAGGTTGTCAGAGAAGTAGGGGAAAGCTGGCAGTCACTGGCCTCACTGAGCTCCCACACAATCCAAAGGGCTGGTCTCACTCCCACTGTGCCCCCACCAACAGCCCTGAGTTTGTTTCCAGGCAGTGGGCTAGCTGGGCTTGAGAACTTGCCCCAGGCTACCCGCCTCCCAGCTGTGAAAGAAAAGGGTTTGGTTCTTCCCCTGCCTGTGGAGTCTGCACACCAGATTCACACCCTCCCTGGAGTTCTGGTCAAGAGGCTTCTCACCCCATTCAAATTATTACAAAGTTCAACTGGAAATTTCCTTTTCCCTGTGATGCTTTCCCCTCTGCCCTGCTCCTCTGGCTGCCCTCCCATTGGATGCCTGTGGTTCCAGGCAGGAATGGCCTGCTTGGGGACCCAGCTGAGCTCCCAGGGTCTTTCTGCTGCTTCCTCTATCCCTGTATTTTGCTTGGCTCTCTAAATTGACTCAGCTCCGGTTAAGGTAGGAAACTTCTCTGGCAAACAGACCTTCAGTTTCTCCAGTGGGGGTGAGTGTTCGGGAGAGGAGGCTCTTCTTTTCCCACTTCCACAGTTGGGGCACTAACAGTATCTGGGATGTCTCCTGGGTCCTGCAGGAGCAGTCCACTTCCTTCAGAGGGTCTGTGGGTCCTCTCGGGATTGCTGGTTTGTTCTTGCAGTCGATCTGGAGCTAAAATTCACAATGCAAGCCTTTGCAAACTGCTCTGTCCATCTGAGTCAGAGCGGCAATCTAGTCCTATCTCCTGTCTATCATGATGATCTCAGTCCCCAACTTTATTTTTAATTAAGAATCATAAAGAAATATTATGATCACTTCTTAGAGAATATCACTAAATAATAAATGAATGAATGAATGAATGAATAAACAAATACTTCTTACTAGCATATGTTTTTAAGATTTGTGCACCTTTATTTGTTTCTTTCTTTCTGTTTTTTTTTTGTTTTTGTTTTTGTTTTGGAGACTGGATCTCACTCTCTCACTCGTACAATCATGGCTCACTGCAGCCTCAACTTCCAGGGCTTAAGTGATCCTCCCACCTCAGCCTCCCTAGTAGCTAGGACCACAGGTGCACACCACCACACTCAGCTAATTTTTTATTTTTTTAGAGATGGGGGGGTCTCACTATGTTTGAGACCCAAGCTGGTCTCAAACTCCTAGCCTCTAGCAATCCTCCTGGCTCAGCTTTCCAAAGTGTTAGGATTATTAGAGGCATGAGTCATCACACCCAACCTGTTTCTTTTCTCTCTTACTCTCTTTTATTTCTCTCTCTCACTCTGTTTCTTTTCCTTCCTTCCCTTCCTTCCTTCCCTCCCTCCCTCCCTTCCTTCCTTCCCTCCTCCTTCCTTCCTTCCTCCCTCCCTGCCTCCCTCCCTCCCTTCTTTCTCCTTCCTTCCCTCCCTTCTTTCTTCCTTCCTTCCTTTCTTTCTTTCTCTTTCTTTCCTTCCTTCCTCTTTCCTCCCTCCCTCCCTCTCCTTCCTTCCTTCCTTCCCTCCCTCCCTTCCTCCTGTCTTTCTTTTCTTTCTTTTTCTCTTTCTTTTCTCTTTCTTTCTTTCTTTTCTTCTCTTTCCTTCCTCTCTCTCTCTCTCTGTCTCTCTCTCTCTCTTCCAGTTCTTCGACTGGTCTTGCTATCAAAGGGTTTTGCTGGACTCAAACTCCTCAGTTCAAGTGAGCCTCTTGTCTCAGCCTCTCAAATAGCTGGGAGCACTCTTGTTTCTTAACTCCCATTTCTTACTCTGGATTAACCTTTCTTTGGAATATTTTTTAATACTGAGGACCTATAGGTAGTAGTTCTCTATTTATGTTTCAAATTGCTTATTTGGGATTCATTTTTGAATAAGGTTTAGATATAAAATTCTAGGCTGACAATTACTTTCTGTTAGCTTTGAAGATACTATTCCATTGTCTTCTGACCTCTATTATTACTGATAGGAAGCTGGGTTTTCCCTACTTTGTAGTTTATCTTTTCTTTTATAGTATTTTAGATTTTGCTTTTTCTCTTTTTTTTATAGTCGCACTGCAATATTTTTTGGAGTTGATTTGTACTTATTTATTTTTCTTAACATACTAAATACATTCTGATCTTGCAACTAATGTTTCTCTTTTGTTTTGGAAAATTATCATTTAATATACCTACAAAATTCCTAAAAATGTAATATTTCTGTCTATTCGAGTCATATTCTGGGCAAATCCTTTAGTACTGTACCATTATTCAGCTCATAAATTCTTTATCTCTATGCAGTCTAGAATTTAGTTTGTCATTTTAATTCTTTATTTCTGAAATCTTTATTGTCTGAAATATCTTTTTTTTCATTTTAAAAATACCTATTTTCTGTCATTTTCCTCCCTATTTTTTACTCCATCATTTATTTTTCTTTTAAATTAATGCTAATCATTCATTTGTCTCTTTAAGTCTCCTAAGTATGTTAAAGTCTTTTCTAGACTGCGAATATTAATTTTTTCTGGGCGAATTTGTCTTTTAATTATGTTGATTAAATTGGTTGACTTTTTATCATTAGAATTCTTCATTATGTATTTTGATATTTTGGTTTCCAAACTGGTTTTGAATGGAAAATTATTTGTGTTTTTTTTTCCCTCTCTCCCTTTCTCCTCCCTCTCATTCTTCCCAACTAGTGGGATGTTCTGACTGGTGACATGCCTTTTTTTCCAGCCCTCCAGGCCCCAGATTCAGAACTCAGCATTCAAATGTTTCTCTGATGCTCCTCCTGGGTGGCATGTGGAGACATCACAGATGTGGTTACCAAGCAGCAGGTAGCATGGCTCAGCAGCTAGGTCTGAGGCAGTGGCTCTGTCCTCTACCCTCCTCAGGCACACTTCCTTACAGACGTCCCAGTCCCAACCAGCAGCTGTTGTTTTTCTAGCTTCGTTTCATGGGTGGGGATGTTGAGTTCTTTTCCCCCATCTCAGGTGAGCCATTCTGCCCTCTGCCCTCTGATGCCCTGTAGGAATCCAGCTCCTGGCCCCATTGCCTTTCTCTCTGCTGGAACCCAGCCAGCCTGTGCCTTCAGTCTTGCTCTCCACTGGGCTTCTTGCTAGCTCCCATCCACAGAGAGGTTTACAAGCTAGTGTGTGTCTTTTTGTGTGTGTGTGTGTGTGTGTATATATATATATACACACACACACACACACACACATTTATTGGTATATATTATTATATATATATACCTATATATAATAGTTATATATACATATATATAATAGTTATATATATAATAGTTATATATACAAATATATATAATAGTTGTATATATAGAAATATATATAATAGTTATATAGAAATATATATAATAGTTATATATAAATAATAGTTATATATATATATATATATAATTTTGTCTACCATTAACATGTGTTTGGAACAGATGAGGTTTGTTGATGTTCATCAAAATATCATTTTGACTAGGAGTCTATAACTTATTTGAATATTTATTTAGTGACTCCATTTATTATTTTGTACATACTTCGTATCAAATCCAGTCCTTTCTCTTAGGAGCCAGTTCCTTTAGTAACTTCACAAATGGATGGCAAAAATCCTCAACATTTGGAAAATACATTTTCAAGCAGAGCTGGTATTATAGCCCACTCATGAAAGTATCAGTCCTTCCAAATTCCAGGGTTTAGAGAGTAGCACAGGGTAAAATCAGGAAATTTTTAATTTAAAATCCTCCTGTGTTGACATACTTTCTGACCTGATCGGCTCCACTTTTTGGACAAGTGGTGACGTTTGACATGTAACATGTAGAAGTTTCATTGCTGGGGATTGTGTTGCAGGGAGGGCAGTCTTGCAATTTCCCAGTGATTATATCACATTATTAATCTTGACAATAAAGTGAGTGCGCTTATTAAAATTATGGGCAAACAAGAGAGAGAACTGAAAAAGTACAAAGAACATATGTTTCTATTAAACAGTCAGACATGAGGCATAACTTATTCATGTCATTTATTCAGTTTTAGACTACCCCAATTTGATAAGGCAAATAGAATTGATGTGGGACTAGTAATACCAGAATTGTGATAGTCCTCATTCTGAAGACAATATGCAATCTTAAAAATTAAAATGTGGAAAATTATTTATTTTCTCTAGTATTTAACTTATATCCGTATAATACAAAATACAAAGCTTTTCCTGTTTATTAATAAATTTAGATTTTATGATACAGAAAAATGTCATATAGATGTATACATTTACACCCCACATCTGAATTAATTCAAGAAATAAATCCCAAGGCATTGCTCAGAGATGAGGAGGTGAATGAGGAGGCTTTAGCTGGTGAGGAAAATACCATCCAGTCCTCTGAGGATGAGCACTTTAATCTTGCTCTGATTCTTCCACTCTACCAATAAAATTTCAAGAAAGCAACCATTAACATTTTGGACCTAAATTCTAAAAAGGAACTGCACATCTTTAATTGGGTTATTGGGCTTTTTGCTCTTTAGTTGCAGGAGTTCATTATATATCTTGGAGATTAATGTTTGTCAAATATATGTTTGCAAACATTTCTCATTCCGTAGGTTGCCTCATCACTCTGTTGATGGGCTAAAGACCTGAAGAGCCATTTGTCCAAAGAAGACATACAAGCGGCCAACAGACATATGAAAAAATGCTCAACATCACTAATCGTCAGGGAAATGCAAATCAAAACCACAGTGAGATATCACTTCACACCTGTCAGGTTGGCTATTACTGAAGAAACAGAAAACATGACTAGTGTTGGTGAGGATGTGAATACATTGGAACCCTTGTACAACATTTAGTGGAAATGCAAAGTGGTGCAATTGCTATGGAAAACAGTATGGAGAGTCCTCAAAAAATTAAAAGTAGAATTACTATATGATCCAGCAATCTTACTCTGGGTATTTATCCAAAAAACAAAAACGTAATCAGCATCAGCGTAATATAATCCACACTCCTATGTTCAATGTAGCACTATTCACAATATTCAAGATGTAGAAACAACTTAAATGCTCATTGACCCATGAGTGGGTAAAGAAGATATGGTATATACACACAAATGAATATTATACAGCCTTAAAAAGGAAGGAAATTTTGTTATATGTGACAACATGGATGAATCTTGAGGTTCATCCTCTTATGTTAAGTAAAATACACCAGTCATGAAAAGACAAATACTGCATGATTTTACTTATAGAAAGTATCTAAAATAGTCAAGTTCCTAGAATCAAAGAGTGGAATGTGGTTGTCAGGGGCTGGGGAATGAGGAAATGGTATGTTTCTAATGACTGCATAAAGTTTCATTTAAATAAGATGAATACATTCTATAGCTCTTCTGTACAACATTGTACCTATAATTAACACTGCATTGTACCCTTAAGAACTTGAGGGTGGATCTTATATGAAGTGTTCTTACCAGAATAAAATAAAAATTTAAAAAATAATATATATGTTACAAAGTAGTTCTGTCAAATGAGATTAACAATACAGTTCCTGGCTCATACTATTACATACTATTACAGAATAAATATTTATCTAATTTAAAAAAAGCTTTCACACTTTCCTTGCTTCAAACAACAGCACCCCATTGGCTTTAACTTGTACCTGTTTTCCAAATCTGACCAGCACAGAGACTGGGAGCTATTTATTTTCTCCTACTTAATCCCCATGTATAGAATTTTTAAAATTTTATTCTTTTTTATTTCCATAGGTTTTTGGGAAACAGGTGGTGTTTGGTTACATGAATAAGTTCTTTAGTGGTGATTTCTGAGATTTTGGTGCACCCATGATCCGAGCAGTGTACACTGTACCCAATGTGTAGTCTTTTATCCCTCCCCAGTCCCTACCCTTACCTCCGAGTCCCCAAAGTCCAATGTATCATTCTTATGCCTTTGCACCCTCATGGCTTAGCTCCCACATATGAGTGAGAACATATGATGTTTGGCTTTCCATTGCTGAGTTATTTCACTTAGAATAAGAGTCTCCAACTCCATACAGGTTGCTGTGAATGCCATTATTTTGTTTCTTTTTATGGCTGAGTAGTATTCCATTACATATCATAGTTTCTTTATCCACTTGTTGACTGATGGGCATTTGGGCTGCTTCCATATTTTTGCAATTGCAAATCATGCTGCTATAAACGTGTGTGTAAGTATCTTTTTTGTATAGTGACTTCTTTTCCTCTGGGTAGATACCCATATATGGAATTTTTTTTCACCATAGATGTCTTCAAAAGGCCAAACAGTGAAATATTGGTAAGAACTTTTGAATACTTACGGCATCTAAAAGTTCTTACCAATATTTCTACTCGCACTTCTATTTCTGGTTTCCATAGAATTGCCTATATTCCTAATTTCTTTTTCTCTGTAAGTCTATTTAACCTTACAAACATGGTGTTTCTCTTATTTCCTCAGCACCGCCTGAGATGTGATGGTGAGCTGAGCTGTACCTGAATCCTGAGCTGCCCAGCCCAGGCAGGAAGCACACTGGCGATCTCTTTCCATCGGGGGGCAGCTGCCCTAGGCTGGAAGTATTTTAGCTCTGAATCTGCTGTTAGAGGGTCTATCATTCTTTGTCATTTTTTTCTCTCAGATACTGCTCTTTTTAGTTTAGTTTTATTTATTAATATCTTCCTACTGTGGTGCTTAACGTCTCCTTTCCCCCTCCTCCAAGGGTGAGAGGTCTGGTTGAAAGATCTCTACTAGCTACGCAGTAATTTTTTTATAATTCTTCCTTCCTTCAAATGTGTCTTTTTGTGACCCAATCGAACGCTGGCAATGAAGTTCCTTATCTCCATTTGACTTGTGCATGAAGCCAACACTCAGAAATCCTACTTCATCCCTTACCTTTTCTCTTTGTAGCTAACCCAAAATGTGTTCAGTTTTACTAAAAGCTGAAGCTCTCCACAAACTTCTGAGTATAGTGTACTCTGGCCGAAATGGCAGCCACTTTTTCAATATTTTTCATGTTAATTACATTTAACTACACTTAGTTTCATGAAATTGAAATTTACAAAAAAGGAGGAAAAAACCATGGGGTGGGGGTGGGGAAATGTGGTAAATTATATTTTTAGAGAAATACCAGAAGTAGTTTTGTTTTATTTCAAAAAAAAGTAATTAAAAATCGTTTAAATCATTCATAACTTCTATAAAGTTCTTTTCTAGCTTCTGTTTGACATAAAAATAACAAGATAATGAGTCGTGGGCCCGGGGAACCAGAAATCTTGGCTGTTGATCTGGTATTTGTGGCTCTATTGCTGATTGGTATAGAAGTGAACTTATGTGACCATAAAGGTGAATGCAGTCAAAATGGTCAGACATGCAGTCAACTCTAAAGATGTTGTGATAGGGGCCGAAAGTCAAGAAATAAACTTTAGTAGATTACTGTGTGATGGAGAAGAAATTATGAGAAGAAATGCACCTGAAGTGGTCTCAGGGATTTGTTTCACATTAAAAAAATATACTTTATTTTTTAGAGCAGTTTGAGGTTCACAGCAAAGTGAAATAGAAAATACAGAGATGTCTCACCTACCCCCTACCCCCGCCATGCACAGTTTCCTCCATTATCATCATCCCTAGCCATAGTGAGAATTTGTTACAATTAGGGAACCTGCTTTGGCACATCATTATCTCTCAAAGCACACAGTTTACATTAGGGTTTTCTCTTGGTATTGTACATTCTCTGTTTTTTGACAAATGTATAATGTCATGTGTCTACCGTTATAGTATCATACAGAATAGTTTCACTGCCCTAAAAATCTTCTGTATTCTGCCTATTCATCTCTCTTTTTCTTTCCCCAAACCCCTGACAACCATTGATCTTTTTACTCTCTCCATAGTTTTGTCTTCTCCAAAATGTCATATAGTTGGAATCGTACAGTAGTAGGTAGCATTTTAGAGCAGCTTCTTTTACTTAGTAATAAGCATTTGTGTCATTCATGTATTTTCATAGTCTGATGGCTCACATCTTTTTGGCATTGAATGATATTTCATTGTCTAGTTGTACCACAGTCTACTTATCCAGCCATCTACTGGAGGACATCTTGGTTGCTTCCAAGTTATGGCAATTATAAATAAAGCAGCTATACGTGTCCATGTGAAAGTTTTGTGTGGGTGTAGGTTTTCAACTCACTTTGAAAAATACCAGAGTGTGATTGCTGGATTGTATTTCACTTTTCAGTTCTGTTTGTGAGTGTTATTTTAAAAAGATGCTATAGGATATGCTGCCCTGCACAGAATAGGTAGATAGGAACCAGGCAAACGGAATGTTATCTGAGGCTCATTCATGTCAGTGTTCACTCCTGCAATGCAGAGTAAAATCTCTAGTATATAGTTATAGTTTACAATAACTGGAAGTAGGTTTCCAGGAATAGGACAGGATTGACATGGATTTTTGATGCTGCTATTACTCCTCTACATTTCTAGCAGAAAAGGGGAAAATTATGTCTGGCTGGGCACTGGAATTGCTTTAACAACCTCATAGTCTTTCTGAGGCTTCATAAATTACAAATAAGCTCTTGATGGTTTGATATCCTGACCTTTGGAAATGTTATTTCTTCTATTAAAATATTAAATAAAACAATGTTTTATTTGATCTACATTGGCTACAGCAAAAGGTTTTTATAAATATATATATAAAATAAAACTTTTATCTGAATGTTATACTGTAATTGTTCTACTGACTTAAAATACTCATTAAGGTAATAGTATTATGAGCTCTTTTCTGAGAAAATTTTATAAGTACAAAAGCCATTAAAATGATTAAAATTTCCTCTTGGTTTCTGCTATTTCTGCAGATGTCTTGGTTCCTAAGAACAACTATACTGTTGAATCTAGCTAGTAAAAAGTATTAAATGCATCATACACCTGTCTAAATGAAGAAAGTCCTGAAATAATTCTTACGCTTTTCCTCTATTGCTGCTTCTCTTTTCTTTTACCTTTCCTTCCTTTTAAGAAAAACATAGTACTTTGGAACAAATTGATTTTTTTAGATAGCGCATTGATCATACCCCTAGCCTGGGGTTAGCGCATAATTTCAAAAACGATAATAACTAAGACAATCATCTAATTTTACTGAAATAAAACTGAAAATGTACACCCGACAAAATCATCCCTGAGACTACATTAGGTGCATTTGTGCTTGTATTTTATTCTCAATGACACAGTAATCTACTAAAGTTCCTCTCTCAATTTTTCTCTTTGCAATCTGGAAGAACAGATTCACTAGTGATTGTGCTCATTTATAAAAGCATCCAAAACAAAATTGAACCCCAAGGCTGATATGCTATAAAGATGCTGATCAGATCTGAGCAGAATGGACCATGCTTTGGGGCTTGCTCAGCTAAAGATGGTTCTAGAAGACTGATGACTTTATATACACAATTACAAACACCACAGCTCTGTCAGATGAATGGAAACTCATGAAATATGAGCTGGCCCTTTATTAAGTAAAAAAATGGCATTTTGTAAAATACTTCTTAAGATTCAGTAATTTTTTAAGGTAATTAATTTCCCCCCATTCTTTGGCAGAAGACATAATCAAACAATCTTACAGGAAAGAACAATCCAATAGTATGTTTATAAAATAGTTATACAAAACAAAGACTAATTGATTTTTTTATGGCTCAAACTAATAGGAATGAACCTTGTCAACTTCATGTAATTGTTATCCATAACCAGTGGAAGTCATAATCAATAAGAGATTAGAAATATGTTAATTTTTTCCAGAGTTCCTCTCCAAAAAGAGGTTGGATGTAAGAAAACAACCTGGAATTTTTTGTGTTTTGTTTTGTTTTCAATAACACAAATAGCTAAATATGTAGTAACAGTGAGGCAATATATTAAAAATAAGATTGGTCTTCAATTAGAGATTGATGCCCATTTATCAGAGATGGTGTTAGTCCACATGATCAGCGTTGATTAGACTTGCTGTTGGTCATGTCCTAGCATGTCCCATGAAATTTCAGATTCATATTTTATTATAAGAAGACCTTGAATTTGCATTTCTGCAAATACTTTTTGCCAAGTTAAAATTTTGTTCACTAAATGAATCAGTAGGAACACCTATGTAAAATTCCTGGATTCTCCAGATTTTATGTCATAATTCTACCAGCAAAACATGATCAAAATCTGTTATCATTACTTGGAGTGACCCTACTTATTTTTCCTGCTCTTAGATTCTCTATCGAGAACCTTTATGCTCAGCTCATCCTATGTCCCCAGAGTTCTCATGGTTTCCCCTGGCTTTCCATTATATATAAGCTAACTCAGAACCCTTATTTAGACAGACATACACATGAGTAATAAGAAAATGAAGTTAAAATCATCCAAGTCCTTCAAACACTGAGTTTAACAAATGCTGGTAGTCTCAGAGAATAATTCAAATTAAGGCAAAAGAAATTAAATACATCCTAGTATTTGGCAGCAGACTGTTTTCTGGGGAGATGTTAACTTGTTTCATAGATGTGCAAATTTAATTTGAATTAAAGTATCAGAATGAGGATACCTGAGACAGACTGGCCTCTGGTATTTTGAAGACCCAAGGCAGGAGTGTACCAATGGACATCCATATACCCTATGCATAAATACTTAAAAGAAATAAATCAAACTAACAAATTCTCAAATACAGTTGGCCCTTCATATCTTTAGGTTCCATCACATCGTGAATTCAACCAACTGCGGATGGAAAATATTTGGAAGAAAAAAAGGATGGTTATATCTGTACTGAGCCTGTACAGAGTTTTTTTTTCTTGTCATGACTCCTTAAACAATACAGTATAACTATTTATGCAGCATTCACATTGTATTAGGTATTGTAAGTAATCTAGAGATTATTTAAATATATGGGAGGATATGTGCAGGTTATGTGCAAATTCTACATTTTTTATC
Source organism: Homo sapiens (assembly GCF_000001405.40). NCBI lineage: Eukaryota > Metazoa > Chordata > Mammalia > Primates > Hominidae > Homo > Homo sapiens. Next base: position 8,613,335 of record NC_000006.12, read on the forward strand.
AGGGACTTGAGCACTTACAGATTTTGGTATCTACAGGGGCTCCTGAAACTCATCCCAAATGGATACCAAGAGACTACTTACTGCATGCTCTACCCTCCTACCTTGGCAAATATAAGTTATAACAACATGGATGGCCACATTTTAATTTGAGCGCTAGAGCTTCCAGGAACTCAGTACTGTGCTGTGATGCCCAGAAGGGCTAGATACCAGCCTCTGCCTCTGCCACCGTCTCCTCTCCCTCCCCTTAGTGCACTACAAGATGCAGATGCTGTATCAAGATGTAGCCGGCATCCCCCTCCTTCCTGGTTGCATACAGTTTCAAGCATTTTTTCAGTACTTTTCAGGAATGGGGGAATTTATCATAAATCTGTAGTTCAGATTAAGAAGTTGGTAGGGATAATAATTGCTTCCCTCCCCCTAAAAGGTCCATATCCCGGTCCCTGGAATCTGCAACTCTGTTACATCACATGGTAAAGAGGAAATGAGGTCCTATATGGAATTAAGATTGCTAATCAGCTGATCAGATGTGATCACAGAGTTCTTAACAGTGAAAGGGGAGGCAGAGCAGGTCAGAGTGAAGTGACCTGAGAAGGCCTCAACCTGCCCTTTGAGGATCAGGGTTCCCCAGGCTCCAGTACTGTTCCATGGCCTGTTAGGAACTGCACCACACAGTGGGCGTGAGCAGTGGGTGAGTGAACAAAGCTTCATCTGTATTTATAGCAGCTCCCCATCATTCATTATTGCCTGAGCTCTGCCCCCTGTCAGATCAGTAATGGCATTAGATTCTTACAGGAGCATGAAGCCTATTGTGAACTGTGGATGCAAGGGATCTAGGCTGTGTGCTTATTATGAGAATCTAATGCCTGATGAGCTGTCACTGTCTCTCATCACCCCCAGATGGGACTGTCTAGTTGCAGGAAAACAAGCTCAGGGCTCCCACTGATTCTACATTATGATGAGTTGTGTAATTATTTTATTATATGTTACAATGTAATAATAATAGACATAAAGTCCACAATAAATATAATGCACTTGAATAATCCGAAAATCATCCCCACCCTGCCTTCGTTTGTGAAAAAAAATGTCTTCTACAAAACCGGTCGCTAGTGCAGAAAGGTTGAGGATCACTGTTGAAGATGGAGGAAGGTGGCCACCAGCCCAGGAATGTGGCAGTCTCCAAAATCTGCAAAAGGCAAGAAATAGGTTCTTCCCTACACCTTCTAGAAGGGAATGCCAGCCCTACCAGCACATTGATTTTTTTTTATTATTATTATACTTTAAGTTCTGGGATACATGTGCAGAATGTGCAGATTTGTTACGTAAGTATACACGTGCCATGATGGTTTGCTGCACCCATCAACCCGTCATCTACATTCAGTATTTCTCCTAATGCTATCCCTCCCCTAGCACCCCAGCCCCTGACAGGCCCTGGTGTGTGATATTCCCCTCCCTGTGTTCATGTGTTCTCATTGTTCATCTGTCACTTATGAGTGAGAACATGTGGTGTTGGGTTTTCTGTTCCTGTGTTAGTTTGCGGAGAATGATGGTTTCCAGCTTCATCCATGTCCATGCAAAGGACATGAACTTATCTTTTTTAATGGCTGCATAGTATTCCATGGTGTATGCGCCACATTTTCTTTATTCAGTCTATCATTGATGTGCATTTGGGTTGGTTCCAAGTCTTTGCAATTGTGAATAGTGCTGCAGTAAACATACATGTGCATGTGTCTTTATAGTAGAATGATTTATAATCCTTTGGATATATACCCAGTAATGTTATTGCTGGGTCAAATGGTATTTCTGGTTCTAGATCATTGAGGAATCGCCACACTGACTTCCACAATGGTTGAACTAATTTACACTCCCATCAACAGTGTAAAAGTGTTCCTATTTCTCCACATTCTCTCTAGCATCTGTGGTTTCCTGACTTTTTAATGATCACCATTCTAAATGGTGTGAGATGGTATCTCATTATTGTTTTGATTTGCATTTCTGTAATGACCAGCGATGATGAGCTTTTTTCATATGTTTGTGGGCTGCATAAATGTCTTCTTTTGGGAAATGTCTGTTCATATGCTTTGACAACTTTTTGACGGAGTTGTTTGATTTTTTCTTGTAAATTTGTTTAAGTTCGTTGTAGATTCTGGATATTAGCCCTTTGTCAGATGGATAGACTGCAAAATTTTCTCCCATTCTATAGGTTGCCTGTTCACTCTGATGCTAGTTTCTTTTGCTGTGCAGAAGCTCTTTAGTTTAATTAGATCCCATTTGTCAATTTTGGCTTTTGTTGCCATTGCTTTTGGTGTTTTAGTCATGAAGTCTTTGCCCGTGCCTATGTCCTGAATGGTATTACCTAGGTTTTCTTTTAGGGTTTTTATGGTTTTAGGTCTTATGTTTAAGTGTTTAATCCATCTTGTATAAGGTGTAAAAAAGGGGTCCAGTTTCAGTTTTCTGCATATGGCTAGCCAGTTTTTCCAAAACCATTTATTGAATAGGGAACCCTTTCCCCATTGCTTGTTTTTGTCAGGTTTGTCAAAGATCAGATGGTTGTAGATGTGTGGCATTTGTTCTATGGCCTCTTTTCTCTTCCATTGGTCTATATATCTGTTTTGTTACCAGTCCCATGCTGTTTTGGTTACTGTAGCCTTGTAGTAGAGTTTGAAGTCAGATAGCTTGATGCCTCCAGCTTTGTTCTTTTTGCTTAGGATTGTCTTGGCTATATGGGCTCTTTTTTGGTTCCATATGAAATTTAAAGTAGTTTTTTCTAATACTGTGAAGAAAGTCATTGGTAGCTTGATGGGGATAGCATTGAATCTATAAACTACTTTGGGCAGTATGGATATTTTCACGATATTGATTCTTCCTATCTATGAGCAGGGAATGTTTTTCCATTTGTTTGTGTCCTCTCTTATTTCCTTGAGCAGTGGTTTATAGTTCTCCTCGAAGAGGTCCTTCACATCCCTTGTAAGTTGTATTCCTAGGTATTTTATTCTCTTTATAGCAACTGTGAATGGGAGTTCACTCATGATTTGGCTGTTTGTCTATTATTGGTGTATAAGAATGCTTGTGATTTTTGCACATTGATTTTGTATCCTGAGACTTTGCTGAAGTTGCTTATCAGCTTAAGAAGATTTTGGGCTGAGACGATGGGGTTTTCTAAATATACAATCCTGTCATCTGCAAACAGAGACAATTTGACTTCCTCTCTTCCTACTTGAATGTCCTTTCTTTCTTTCTCTTGCCTGATCGCCATGGCCAGAACTTCCAATACTATGTCGACTAGGAGTGGTGAGAAAGGGCATCCTTTTCTTGTGCTGCTTTTCAAAGGGAATGCTTCCAGCTTTTGCCCATGCAGTGTGATATTGGCTGTGGGTTTGTCATAAATAATTCTTATTATTTTCAGTTACATTCCATCAATACCTAGTTTATTGAGAGTTTTTAGCATGAAGGGGTGCTGAATTTTATTGAAGGCCTTTTCTGCATCTATTGAGATAATCATGTGGTTTTTGTCATTAGTTTTGTTTATGTGGTAGATTATGTTTATTGATTTGTGTATGCTGAACAAGCCTTGCATCCCAGGGATGAAGCTGACTTGATCATGGTGAATAAGCTTTTTGATGTGCTGCTGGATTTGGTTTGCCAGTATTTTATAGAGGATTTTCACGTCGATGTTCATCAGGGATATTGGCCTGAAATTTTCTTTTTTTGTTGTGTCTCCGCCAGGTTTTGGTATCAGGATGATGATTGCCTCATAAAATGAGTTAGGGAGGAGTCCCTCTTTTTCTATTGTTTAGAATAGTTTCAGAAGGAATGGTACCAGCTCCTCTTTATACCTCTGGTAGAATTCGGCTGTGAATTTGTCTGCTTCTGGGCTTTTTTGGTTGCTAGGCTATTAATTACGGCCTCAATTTCAGAACTTGTTATTGGTCAATTCAGGGATTCGACTTCTTCCTGGTGTAGTCTTGGGAGGGTGTATGTGTCCAGGAATTCATCCATTTCTTCTAGATTTTCTAGTTTATTTGCATAGAGGTGTTTATAGTATTTTCTGATGGTAGTTTGTATTTCTATGGGATCAGTGGTGATATCCCCTTTTTCATTTTGTATTGTGTCTGATTCATCTCTCTTTTCTTCTTTATTAGTCTGGCTAGTGTTCTATCTATTTTGTTAATCTTTTCAAAAAAGCAACTTCTGGATTCATTGATGTTTTGAAGGGATTTTCATGTCTCTATCTCCTTCAGTTCTGCTCTGATCTTAGTTATTTCTTGTCTTCCGCTAGCCTTTGAAGTTTTTTGCTCTTGCTTCTCTAGTTCTTTTAATTGTGATATTAGGGTGTCAATTTCAGATCTTTCCCACTTTCTCCTGTGGGTGTTTAGTGCTATAAGTTTCCCTGTAAACACTGCTTTAGCTGTGTCCCAGAGATTCTGGTAAGTTGTGTCTTTGTCCTCATTGGTTTCAAAGAACTTCCTTATTTCTGCCTTAATTTTGTTATTTACCCAGTAGCCATTCAGGAGCAGGTTGTTCAGTTTCCATTCAGGAGCAGGTTGTTCAGTGGTTGTGTGGTTTTGAGTGAGTTTCTTAATCCGAAGTTCTAATTTGATTGCACTGTGATCTAAGAGACTGTTTGTTATTATTTCCATTCTTTTGCATTTGCTGAGGAGTGTTTTACTTCCAATTATGTTGTCGATGTTAGAATAAGTCTGATGTGGTACTGAAAAGAATGTATATTCTGTTGATTTGGAGAGTTCTGTATATGTCTATTAGGTCCACTTGGTCCAGAGCTGAGTTCAAGTCCTGAATATCCTTGTTAATTTTCTGTCTCATTGATCTGTCTAATATTGACAGTGGGGTGTTAAAATCTCCCACTATAATTGTGTGGGAGTCAAAGTCTCTTTGTAGGTCTCTAAGAACTTGCTTTGTGAATCTGAGTGCTCCTGTACTGGGTGCATATATAGTTACAATAGTCAGCTCTTCTTGTTGCATTGATCCCTTTACCATTATGTAATGCCCTTCTTTGTCTTTTTTGATCTTTGCTGGTTTGAAGTCTGTTTTATCAGAGACTAGGATTGCAACCTCTGCTTTTTTAAAAATTTGTTTGCTTTCCATTTGCTTAGTAAATATTCCTCCACTCCTTTATTTTGAACCTATGTGTGTCTTTGTACGTGACATGGGTCTCCTGAATACAGCACACCAATGGGTCTTGACTCTTTCTCCAGTTTGCCAGTGTGTCTTTCAATTGGGGCATTTAGCCCATTTACATTTAAGGTTAATACTGTTATGTGTGAATTTGATCCTATCATTATGATGTTAGCTGGTTATTTTGCCTGTTAGTTGATGCAGTTTCTTCAGCGTGTCGATGGTCTTTACAATTTGGCATTTTCACAGTGGCTGGTAGCAGTTTTTCCTTTCCATGCTTAGTGCTTCCTTCAGCAGCTCTTGTAAGGCAGGCCTGGTTGTGACAAAAGCTCTCAGCATTTGCTTGTCTGTTAAAGGTTTTATTTCTCCTTCACTCATGAAGCTTAGTTGGGCTGGATATGAAATTCTGGGTTGAAAATTCTTTTCTTTAAGAATGTTGAATATGGGCCCCCACTCTCTTCTGGCTTGTAAGGTTTCTGCAGAGATATCCACTGTTAGTCTGATGGGTTTCCCTTTGTGGATATCCGCTGTTTGTCTGATGGGGTTTTTGTGTGGATAGCCTTTTTGTTAATGTTGATGCTATTCCTTTCTGTTTGTTAGTCTTCCTTCCAATATTCAGGTCCCTCTGTTGCAGGTCTGCTGGAGTTTGATGGAGGTCCACTCCAGACCCTGTTTACCTGGGTATCACCAGCAGAGACTGCAGAACAGCAAAGATTGCTGCCTGTTTCTTCTTCTGAAAACTTTGCCCTGGGGGGCACCTGCCAGATGCTAGCCAGAGCTCTCCTTGCTAGGAGGTGTCTCCCAGTCAGGAGGCACAAGGATCAGGGACCCACTTAAGGAGGCAGTCTGTCCCTTAGCAGAGCTTGAGTGCTGTGCTAGGAGATCCGCTACTGTCTTCAGAGCCAGCAGGCAGGAACGTTTAAATCTGCTGAAGCTGTGCCCACAGCTGTCCCTTCCCCCAGGTCCTCTGTCTCAGGGAGATGGAAGTTTCATCTATAAGCCCCTGACTGGGGCTGCTGCCTTTCTTTTAGAGATTCCCTGCCCAAAGAGGAGGAATCTAGAGAGGCAGTCTGGCTACAGTGGCTCTGTGGAGCTGCGGTGGGCTCCACCCAGTCTGAACTTCCTGGCAGCTTTGTTTACACTGCAAGGGAAAAACCGCCTACTGAAGCCTCAGTAATGGTGGACACCCCTCCTCCCACCAAGCTTGAGCGTCCCAGGTCTACTTCAGACTGCTGTGCTGGCAGCGAGAATTTTAAGCCAGTGGATCTTAGGTTGCTGGGCTCTGTTGGGGTGGGATCCGCTGAGCTAGACCACATGGCTCCCTGGCTTCAGCCCCCTTTCTAGGGGAGTGAACGGTTCTGTCTCACTGGTGTTCCAGGCGGCACTGGAGTATGAAAAAAACTCCTGAAGCTAGCTCGGTTTCTGCCCAAATAGCCGCCCAGTTTTGTGCTTGAAATCCAGGGCCCTGGTGGTATAGGCACCCGAGGGAATCTCCTGGTCTTCAGGTTGTGAAGACTGTGGGAAAAGCATAGTATCTGGGCTAGATAGCAGTCCTTCATGGATTCCCTTGGCTAGGGGAGGGAGTTCCCCGGCACCTTGCATTTCCTGGGTGAGGCAATACCCCACCCTGCTTCGGCTAACCCTCCGTGGGCTGCACACACTGTCTAACCAGTCCCAGTGAGATGAACCAGGTACCTCAGTTGGAAATGCAGACATCACCCACCTTCTGGATTGATCTCGCTGGGAGCTGCAGACCGGAGCTCTTCTTATTTGGCCATCTTGCCAGCCACCACCCCAGCACATTGATTTTTAGCTCAGTGGAACTCATGTCAGATTTCTGACTTCTAGCACTCTTAGGTTGTAAGATGCCAGTTTATGGTAATTTGTTACATTAGCAATAGAAAACTAATACCAAGGATAAATATGTGTGATGCTTTGGAAAGCTTAAAATGTTACTGAAATCTCTGTAATGGGTAGCATGTTTTGGGTCCTTGATTAATATTTATTAAATATAGATGAATTCACAATTAGGATAAAAAGTGTTGTCAGCTGCTAGGTGGGAAATTACGTTACAATGTACTTATACATTATGATGTAGCTGGTGGACATATTATGTTATTTTTTGCATTGTTGCTCCATAATGAATTTTAGCTTGAATTTGGACCCCAATGGAGTTTTTGAAGTATTTTCAGAAAGATTACTCTATGATTCAGCTGCAGCATCATAGGGTATTAAAAAATACTATATGCAGAAACTTACGAAAGTAATATAATTGCCAAACCTTTTAGAACAGTTTGTGGAACTTTCTAGAAGTTGTGACATAGTCAAATGAATACTATTTTTCAGCTGCTTAACACTATCTGTCCAAAGCATCTAGTTTACTTTCAAGAGAAGCTTATCTAAATGCTAATGGGTAACTCAATTAAGAAAGAAATGATGAGTATAACCAAATAGTTAATGCAGAAGAATCTCCGTAGTCCTCAAAAGGCCTCAAATACATACTGTCAATCATAAAGGTAAAAAAGTTGTCAAAGTTTTGAGCGTGGGTGATAAAAAATATCGTTTCCATAATGCTCAGCATACATTCGAGTATCCAGAATGAACTCAGAAGCATTTTCTTTTTCTTTCTTTTATTTTTTTTTTAATAAGAAAAAGATGTGTCTCAAACTTCAATCATAATTGAAGGTGAAAGGTATGTGGAATTTGTGATGACTATATTCCATAGTTTATTAATTAGAAGATAGATATATTTAAAATGCTGATTGTTCCTCCTGAAAAGTTATTATTATATTTTATATATCTAGGGGTGTGTGTTTTCATATATATTCAATTATATTGGGAATTATGGCATTAAAATAGGGAAAAATACAAAATATCCACACAACTTCCAATTTCTGCTTGACCTGGTATATACTGAAGTTATAAAAATAGCACAATATATAGTGAACAAAATAGTAATAAAAATGTAAAGCAGAGAAACCTAGTAGATATCAGAATCTAAATCCCTTAAAGATGTTATCCTTAAAATCAGCGTGAAAATCAGAGAATTCATATTATAATAAACTATCAAAGGCATTTATTAAACTGAATTTTCCTCACACCAGGTGGCTTTCCCTTCCCCTCCTCCCATTTTTTTCTTCCCTTTTTAAAAAATCAAGTCTAAGGAAACCTATAGTGAAGTTCTTTAATAGCAAAGTATAATGGGGCCTCCTACACCAAGGTATGGAGAGGGCTGTCTAGTCTATTTTTAAAAGTCTCCAGGGAAGGAGCTTCTACAACTTCCTTGTGAATCTCTGACTTCGTACCTGGCAATCTTCCCCTCCCAGGGTCCCCAGGCTGGTCTTCCTCTCTTGCTTAAGAATTTATTATAGATCAAATTATTTTAGGGTTCTGAATATATTGTTATATTTAAACGATACTTTCCCCCAAAGGGGCTCAATTAAAAGAGCGCAGGATGTCTGTGTGGCTGAGTGCTATCCTTAAAGAAAGGTGTTCAATTAATATAAATGGGTGAGATTCAGGCCATAAACAGAAACCCTAATGTTTTAGAAACAACTGCAATCTGAAGTATGTCTTCTCCCTCCTGATTTTTTCTGGAGTTACACACTTTTGAAGACAGATGACCCCAGCCTAAGTCCTTGGGCTAGACTCTTGACCACACTGTCTATTTCTTCATCAGAGGGTGATGATCATGCTTATCTACCTCCATTTTTAAGTGAGGATTAATTAATATTTGTGTGGTATTTTCAAAGATGTTAAACCGTATTTAGATGCTCTAAGGGCTGATGTTATTTCTCAAGGTGTTTTTTCTTTTATTTTATATAAAAAATTACACAAGTTCTGTTCTTGCCATATAATTATGTGTTGGCATTTGCAAGGAAAAAGAAATTCTTTTCAACATTTTTGATGTTTCTTTTAATGTTATCTACTACCTTTATATTGGCATTTTATCTCAGGAAAAAAGGCACCACAATATAACTAGAAAATTTTTTAATGTTTACATTTGTATTTAATATTACCCATGAGCTTCTAATTAAAACATTAACATGATTATCTAATGTAAACCATCAAAGTATTATATACTTATGTTAACTATTTTATTGTTTATTTATTTGAGTTTTGGGGAAGGAAATATACTCTCTTTTTCTTTATGTTCACTTATAATTCAGCTATAAAAGTTTTTATATCTAAGAAATATTTAGATTCTAATTTTTGCATTACAACTTCTGTTAGGATGAGCATAAAAACAGATTTTAGATTGATTACACTCATCAAAGTTTCTCTTGGTTCCTGTTAAGGATAACTGGAAAGTCATCTTTATGATAAGCAATTATTTTTATCTGCTGATACATTGGTAATAAAGTAGTAGGTTACTTTTAAATATTTGAGGTCAATTTGTTTTCATGGTTATCATTTATTCAAGGAAGGCATTTAGAAGCCTGTTTGTCTACACAAATTATTGAATATATTACTGGAGCTCCATGGAGAATGGCAGGTTTTTGCCATTGCGTGGTTTGTCTTTCATCTTTGGATGCTCTGTTACCACTGTTCCATTCCAGGAACAGAGTGAATACACTCACAGCATATATATATATATATAGAGAGAGAGAGAGAGAGAGAGAGAGAGATTGAGATGGAGTTTCGCTCTGTTGCCCAGGCTGAAGTGCAGTGGCATGATCTCGGCTTACTGCAATCTCTGCCTCCCAGGTTCAAGAGATTCTCCTGCCTCAGCCTCCCGAGTAACTGGGGTTACAGGTGCGTACCACCAAACCCAGCTAATTTTTGTATTTTTAGCAGAGATGGGGTTTCGCCATGTTGGTCAGTCTGCTCTCAAACTCCTGACCTCAGGTGATCCACCCGCCTCGGCCTCCCAAAGTGCTGGGATTACAGGCGTGAGCCACCATGTCCGGCCTGGCATACAATGTTTAAAGCTGTCAAACATAAAGTATAACAAAGATGAACTTCTCTTTTTCTGTTTTCCAATTCAGCTATACTATTAAGATTATTTTAAAATAAATAGTCTGATTTTTTAAAAATGTGATTCAGATCATTGTTTCTGTTCTCCCTTCCTTCTGCATGAGCAGCTCAAAACTCAAGGTGCTGGTTGGAGCTACGGGAACAGTTGCAGAGGTTCTGTGCTGTCTGCCTTGCTGTCCTACCTGCATCTGATTCAGGGAGGTGGAATGTGTAGAGGAGAGTTAGAGTGTTAACTCTCCCCTTCATTTTCTAGGCACATTTTAGAGTCAGAAAGGTAGAATATTAGTATAGTATTAAAAGGAAAAAGTAGCACGGAAATGTGATTCATTGTGCCAAGACGCAAATAATTTAGCTGAAAGTTAATGTCACAGCAAATAATGGACACAGAGTTTCTTAGTTTCTTATCTTTTTTTTTTTTTGTAGTACTTAACTGTTACTCATCTTGGGTCTAGTACATAATTTCTGAAGCCAAATTTCTTCATTTTGAAGAACAGATAATAACACTTAATCTAAGAAAGTATTTTTAAAATGCTTTGTAATTCTTAACGAAATGTGTCACAATAAGGTAAAAGCATCTCTTAGTCACTATTCATATTGTTCAGTCATAGTCTGTCTTTTTCTTTCCAGTAATAATCCATCCTGTTTTTTAACAGATTGTAATAGGGGAGCAGTGAGAGAGAAAATCCATGCTTTACTCTGTTCCATATAATTTGTTTATGTTGGGTGTGTGTGTGTGCGTGAGAGTTTATATTATTTACATTGCTTTAAACTAAAGTCACAATTCTCAGTGGATTATTACTTGAACAATAGGAAAAGAGATTATCCTATTTTTTACTACCAGAATGCAATCAAAAATATATTTCTAACTTCAGTGATTTTCAAATAAGAAAATTATATTATTTATAATACTTCATTTTGTTAATCTGATAGTGTAACTACCTTAAAAATATTATCTGTTGTAGTGGTATCATGTCCCAGGGAAAAGAATACATACACATAAAAAACTCATAATGTGCATTATTAACCAAAATACATTTTAAACCCTTGTTTCCTTGTATTAGTGGGTCTTCAGGTCTAAAACAAATATTAAACTAGAGTTTTGTTTGGAATATGGACTCAGTATAAGATAATCAAACCTGCTTTAGGAAAAAAATCATTAAGAAATTTACGTGAAGGATCTATTGCATTTTTTTCTTTGAGGTGAGCAAAAGCAAGTCTGCTATTGCTGATACCACTTGAAAGCCCATTGCTGTGAACACTTTATTTCTTAACAGAAAACTGATTTTAAATGTTGAGGTTAGAAAATCTACTCAACATTTTTTAACTGCTCCAGCTTTAATTCATAATTACAAGCTTATTCCAATCTCTGCATAATGAAACCACATTTTAGACCAACAGCTGTTATCTACTTTTGCTGGTAGCCTTGGGGTATGAATATTTTAATATTCATTTTATATGTGCAGATAAACTAAATACTTCCTACTGGAAGTCTATCAAATTAATCGCAAAAATCTTAGTTGCTGTTCTTTCTTCCATGCAACTCATTTTTAAAAAACTGCTCACTTTGTGCTCCATTTTCCATAAACCTGAAAGTGATTTTTATAAAATATACAGGGGAGAATGTAGAGAAATCCATGGATATAAAGGATCATGGAAAAGATTAAAACAATACTGTTTTAGTGACCTGCCCTTCTGTCCATTTCCATTTTGTGCAAGTTCAGTTTAAGATTCAATATTTTGCTTATGGAAATGTTTTAATAACTGGTTTTGTGTTGGAAGGCTGTGATTTTCACTTATTTAAATAGTATTAGGTTCTCATATGTAAATGATATGGCCTAAAGATAGAACCCTCCCCCCACTCCTCCAGTTTTCCCAGTATAATCTCACAAACACCATTGTGATGTACTATAAAACATGCGGTAACTTTTGTTTTTGGATGGCAGTGAATGATTAGAAAATAAAAGTTCTGTAGCCCAGTAAAATCTAAAAGTGTTTATTCTGAAGTGGAAGATAAAAGGATGATGGAAGATACCAAAATAGAAATAGATGAATTTGTAGCTAAGGTTGGTGGATATTAATAGTAGAGATAGTTCACATAGATTCTTCACATTTTTATGAATTCTGTAGGAAGATGCTTTCACCTGTTCTGCATTTTAACAGAACAATACTACTTACATCATACAATAATCAATATTTGGGGTGGAAAACATAATCTGTATCATTAGCAGATCAAGATCATGTACCTCATTAATGTTAAACCACAACTATTTAAACATGTTTGAGAGGCCTGAGCATGGTGACAGAAAAATAAAGACACGAAATAAAAAAAAGCAACATAAAATGGTCTACGTAGTGTTTTTCTAGTTATGAGGATGAGACTTCTGTGAAAGCTTATTTGGTCTTAGTGAGCACATATGCGATGATGTCTTATGTGATCTTTCTTTCTGACTTCATGTTCTTTTTTTTTTTTTTTTTTCCAGGAGAGTAAAATCTTTTATTATAATAGGTGTATTTTTTTTAATTATACTTTAAGTTTTAGGGTACATGTGCACAACGTGCAGGTTAGTTACATATGTATACATGTGCCATGTTGGTGTGCTTGTACCCAGTAACTCTTCATTTAATATTAGGTATATCTCCAAATGCTATCCCTCCCCCCTCCCCCCACCCCACAACAGGCCCCGGTGTGAACAATGAGAACACATGGACACAGGAAGGGGAACATCACACACCTGACTTCATGTTCTTGGCTCTTGGGATAACAGAACACAAACATTCAGGTCCTTTGTCTTTGAGAAGCAGATGTTTTTCCCCCTTTTGTTTAGCGGAGATGTCTTCTGGGTCTTGACGATGAGAGGAGTTAGACACGTCTAGTCTTTTCCAGTGCTCGCGACAGCTAACATTTTCCTGCTCATCTCTTCTTTGGGCGTTCACCACTGCCTTATACTTTCCCCCTCATTTCCCCTACTTCTTTTGATTGTGACTTACAAAGTCTTTGATTGGCTACTGGGGAAATTCTGTCTCTCTTGAGCCCATTTTTCATTTTCACTTTTTCCTTTGTTCTCATGTCTTAACAGACACATGCCCTTCCCTCTGCCATTTTTGATGGATCTTTCCAGAACACTGCCAGCTATCCATCATTCCTTATCTTTCAAAGTCTTCCAGATGCCTCTTTATGCTTCCTTTCTTAATCATTCTAGCTGCCCTGGAGGGCTCCCCGCATTTGATTTTTGTCCTTCTAATGGTATTTCCTAGCATTTACTGAGGAGTTACTCTGCGCTGGTTCCATGCTAAGCTCTTGGCGTGCCTTATTTTATTTATTCATCATGATACTTAAGAGGTGTCTACTTATTGTTTCTATTCTGTAGCAGAGGAGAATGAAGCTCACAATGTTGAATAACTTGTCCAAAGATAACTGTTAAGTGGAACGGATGGGAGTCAACCTTGAGTCTGTTCCAGACTTTACCCTCCTTAGTTGTTATTAGAATATTTGATTCATTTATTCTTCCTTTCTGATCATTGTTCTCAGTGACATTGGCTTTCTTACTGAAAGTTCATCAAGCAAGCTTTACGGACTCATAGTATCAACAGTCGCAGCATTCCACTCTCCCTGTTTAGCTGCCATGCTCTGGAATTGCTCATCATATACCGCTGAAATCTGAGTTGGTGGGCTCATTGCAGACACACTGTTTTGCTTGCCATGTCTCCCTCTTCTTTATCCCCATTGAACCTAACTCTCAGTATCTCTCCTCTCCTGATCCACACTCCCTTTTAGTTTATTTTATTTTGCCCCAGTATTTCATGTCTTTTGATGACATCATCTTTCCCCAGCTGAATGATGAGGCTGTCTCTAGTTTTAGTGGCTCATACACATCAGTCTAGACTCCTGAAGTCTCTTGATTTTAGATAAGCCTTCAACATCAACCCCCCAATCTAAAATAATTCTTAAATATACATTATTCACACCTCTCTTTAGATCATAGATTATCACTAGGAAAAATAAAAACATTCCTGAGGTATCTTATAGCTTTAAATTCTGTTTCTAGAAAAATGTAGACTTAAATGGCAGATGTTGTTTCCAGCTACATGTTGGCACTTGCTTCTTCTTGGAAGCTCTTCTATTTATTCCTTCTGATTCCTTACTGCTTTCACCTGTGGCCCTGTTCCAAACTAACTCTTACTTCCTCTTTCTCACAGTCCAACCCTAGTCATTGCAGAAACATCCACTTTCATCTCTTTCTCTTACTCATCTCTTCCTCTGTGCTAAGCTCTCATGCTGAGTCCTGTTCACTATAACAAACACTCCCCATTTGTGTCCTAGGTTCTGTCCAGTTGTTATTTTGAGGTATCTCACTCTGAAGCTCATTTTTTCCCCTGACTGTGATTTAAGTCTTTCTCATTACAGCGATTCCTTTCTCCTTGCCTTCAAACACTCAGGCTCTCCTTTCTTAAACAGTTCTTCCTTTTATAGTCTGCCTCTTCTAGCCATCATTTTATTTCATTTTGCTTTAACTGCTGACATGTATTAAATAAATGTTCTCAACCCGCTCTATTCATCCTCTAACAATCTTTATTTTAATCCTTTGAAATTTCAGTCTAATTTACTCAGCATTTTGCTGGGATCACAGTCATCAATAATTGTATTCTTTTTAGTTCTTTCTTCTGTCCTCATTGTTCTTGACTTTTCTGTAGAATTTGGTAAGAATTAGCTAAGAAACAAAGGCAGAAATTTACTCTGAGATGCTGGGGCAGTCCAAGAAGCAAAGTACAAGGATTGAGCATAAATGCCTGGAGACTTCCCAGCCTCTAGAACTGTGAGAAATCACTGTTTATTGTTTAAGCACACAGTCTATGGTGTTCTGTTACAGCAGCTCAAACTGACTAGGACAGAGCACCTATTGGGACCTTACTGATATTTCAGATACATTGTTTCTTGATTCTTTCTCCCTTCCCTCCCTTCCTTCCTTGCTTCCTTCCTTCCTTCTTTTTCTTTCTTTCTTTCTTTTCTTTTCCTTCCTTCTTTCTTTCTTTCCTCTTTCTTTCTTTCTTTCTCTTTCTTTCTCTTTCTTTCTCTTTCTCTTTCTCTTTCTTTCTTTCCTTCTTTCTCTTTCTTTCTTTCTTTCTTTCTTTCCTTCCTTCCTTCCTTCCTTCTTTCTTTCTTTCTCCTTCCTCCCTTCCTTCTTCTCTTTCTGTCTCTTTCTTCCTTTCTTTCTCTTTCATTGATCAAATTGCTGAATGATGAATTAACTGTACATGCCCTTACCTTTTATAACAGTTGTCACGTACCAAATATTCTGATAAATTATCATCCTCGTTGCTGACTTCAGCCTTCTTCAGCCTGTTCTTATTGGTCCATTTTCCATGTTTCTTCAGCAGCTGCCAGGAAATATCTCAGCTGTACTGAATATTAGCCATTGCTTCAGCATTTATGTTAGCCTAAAGTCATGCAAAGGGATACTTATGAGAATTCATTGCATGGCATTTATTATGACTGTGCTATTTCATATTGTACCACTTGAATTGTTCATGCCTGTAGTGAGTATGGTCAACAAACCTGACATCTTAATCACATATAAAGGCAATGTGGGAGTGTCTCCTTTATTCCCTGATCTTGGGCAGTCTGGCATTCTGTCATTTATTTATAGTTGGAGTCCAAGAGTGTAGAAGTAGTCACAGCAATTTTGTGGATCCTGATGTCTATAAGCTAATCTGTGGGCACACTTTCCAAACATTGGGTTTGCTTAGAGATGTATAGTAGAGTATGAGGAACCTAATTATCCTCATCTCGTAGGATTTTATCTTTTGGGCCTCGGATCTCAGAAGGAGTCACCACTGTATTATTTCTGGCAATGTTGACTTCAAGATGCCTATTAAGCATCAGGTAGAGATATTGATTATGCAGTTGAACATATGAGATTAGAGCATAGGAAGGGGTCTGGATTGGTGTTCTAAACTTGAGAGTCTTCATCTTATAAAGCCATTGGAGTCAGTGAAATACTAAGCATTAATAAATAGGAGAAAAAATGTGAAGTGCCTAAATAGCTAGGTACTAAGCATTAATAAATAGGAGAAAAAGTCTGAAGCCCTCTTCTGAAGGATGCTGGGGCCTTCAGAAAGGCCTTATCTGAAAGACCCTGGAGACATTCAACATCAAGAGCTAAGAGAATGATGATGGTGTCACAGAAGAGCCTTGGTACAGTTGCTTTACCCTCTGTCTCCATCCCTCCCCACCCTCTCTTCTGTATTTAGCTTCAATAACAGAATACAGCCCTGATCCTGGTTTGTGATGACATCCAAGATGCTTTAATATGGCCATGTGGTCTCCTGATGCTCTGTGTTGACCTTCTATCTAACTGCCAATGACAGAATTATCTCTTGGCCTATATATCCTGGGGATTCTTTACTCTGCCATGTGTTTTATCTAGGAGAGTAGGGTAATCTGCCAGAGAATGGAGGCCTCAGAACTTTGATTCCGTGAACGATTCCTAATGTTGGCATTTGTCCACTTCCAAGGCTCTCAATCCCTATATTTCTGTGGCATGCTTTAAGTCAAAGATCAATGTATCTTTCATTCATCCCTGGAATGACCTCCTTCAAGACTCTACAAAAGTTCTAAAACCATGGTAACAGCTGAATCTCCTGGATCTCATGTTTGCAGATGGAACAGTACAGAGACCTTCAAGTGGCCTAAGCTTATCTGCTGCCCAGCTTCTCTTGCCATCAAGAAAAATCTCTGCTTTCTCAAGACATGAGATTTCCATGAAGTGTTAGTTAACATTGATCTCTATTTTACAATGTTTCTAAGGAGTTTGTTAGAAGTTTTCAGTTTAGTGCACTCACCCTGAGCTGTGGATATTTGGCTCCCATCTGGCTTATCCAGTCCTACAGGACAGTTTCCTTCACTTCCCTCCACTTTCCCCCAAAGTATCGTAGCTCTGGATGGGTTGATTCACTTTCTTTCTTTTTTTTTTTTTTTTTTTTTTTTTAGACAGTCTCATTCTTGTCTCCCAGGCTGGAGTGCAGTGGCATGATCTCTGCTCACTGCAACCTCCACGTCTCGGGTTCAAGTGATTCTCCTGCCTCAGCCTCCCGAGTAGCTGGGACTACAGGCACCTGCCACCACACCTGGCTAATTTTTGTATTTTTAGTAGAGATGGGGTTTCACCACGTTGGCCCAGCTGGTCTCGAACTCCTGACCTCAGGGGATCTGCCTGCCGTGGCCTCCCAAAGTGCTGGGATTACAGATGTGAGCCACCATGCCCAGCTAATTCACTTTCTAGTGTACTGAAACCTAACAGACAGGTAGGTGATCATAGAATCTCAGATGTTACTGAGAACTTCTTAAATCCAAAGTCTCAGCATATAGCCTCAAATACAACCCACGCAAAGCTGACGTGCATCTCCAGTCACCTGCATGTGATCACATTCAAAAGAAACATCAGGCTGGCATTTAAAAGGGAACTGATGGGATATCTATTAAATGGAGATTATATTGCATAATTAAATTTAAGTAAATCAGCTTAAAATCTTGTATCCACTCTTCTAAAAGTGTGCAAGTATTTTTTAAAATATTATGCAACAACAAGAATAACTGAACCCTCCAAAACAAAAAGTGAAGCAAAAAACAGAAAACAAGCAAGCATAAAAACGAGTAAAATCTCGTAGGTAAGGTTTACGTGGCTGATCCCTATCTTTCAATTGCTAATTTTATTTCTAAAATACAGTCTCATTGTTCTCACTGATTTAGTGCTATACATTTCCATGTAAGACATACATATTAATTATATTAAACAATTTTTATCACTTTCCATTTGGTTGCCATGGGAAATTCCATCTGAAGATGTTGGAAATGACATCTTTAGAGCTTTTGCTATTTCTATATGATTGTCATTAAAATTTTAATTGTTTTTGCTGTATGAAAATTGGCAATAATGATTTGTTTGGGCCAGTTAACACTTGAATTTATAATAAATTAACACTAAAAGATAAGCTAGATTTGTATTGGCTTCCTTCCAGAAGTCAGTGGAATGATTTCTGTGTTAGACCTTAGTGACTATGAAAAGCTTTCTACTACCTTCCCTTAGCTATTCTCCTTCCAGTTTCCACTTCAGCATAGCCCATAGTCCTTTTTCTGCTCATCCACCAAACAGCATCATCCCCCTGCTTAATGACCAGCACCCATTAGGCAAGAGCAGGGGATTGGAGATTTGCCATCAGGTTGTGAACTGAGTGGACAATAAAGAAGTAAAAAATGATGAGAACAGGGCAGGAGGCAAGAGCTATAGCTTTATAGTTATGGGCAATGAGAACTTGGGTAGAAATTAGAGAGCCAAAGTTACTTGGAATGGGCAGAACAGGTCCAAAGTAATTGCCAACAATTAGGTCTTTGATGAGGACATGAGCATACCACTCTGGTCCACAAATCCTTGACACCTCTAATTGTGAGATGTGGTATATATCACTTGAGTCTGGACTCTGCGCCTGCTTGATCAGTAGTAGAAGTGATGCCATGCCAGTTTCTGGGTCCAGGTGTTAAG
Source organism: Homo sapiens (assembly GCF_000001405.40). NCBI lineage: Eukaryota > Metazoa > Chordata > Mammalia > Primates > Hominidae > Homo > Homo sapiens. The sequence continues at coordinate 8,631,982 of NC_000006.12, forward strand.
AAATGGTCAGCTTCCATTTCCTCTCTCTTGTGATCACAACCTAAAATCCAGCCACCATATTGAAAGGAAGCCCAAGAAATCAATGGAGAAGCCACATGTAGGTATTCTGGTCCATAGTCTTAACTGAGGTCTAGATGATGCTCAGTCACCGCATATACGTGTTCATGATCCTCTAGATCAATGGCCCCCAACCTTTTTGGCACCAGGGACCAGTTTGGTAGAAGACAGCCTTTCCACAGACAGGGGTGGGGGTTGGAGGTGGCTGGGGGTAAGGGGTTGGTTTTGGGATGAAACTGTTCCACCTAGATCATCAGGCATTACTTAGATTCTCATAAGGAGCACACAACCTAGATCTCTCGCATGTACAGTTCACAATAGGGTTTGGGCTCCTATGAGAATCTAATGCTGCCACTGATCTCACAGGAGGCAGACTTAGGCGGTAATGCTCAACTGATGGCTGCTCACCTTCTGTGCAGCCTGGTTTCTAACAGGCCACAGACCAGTATAGGTTTGTGTCCGGAGACTGGGGATTCCTCCTGTAGATGACTAGTCATTGCCTGCAGTCTTGAATCTCCCCACTTGAGTGGCCAGATATGGAGCAGAGGCAAGCCATCCCTCCCGCACACTCTCCAAATCCGATTCACAGAATTCGTGACCATTATAATGGTGTTTGTTTTATTCTGCTAAGTGAGGAGTGTTTATTAAAATGTAGAAATAGTAACTGAAAAACCATTGTCAGGCACAAGTATACCACCATTAAGCAAGACCTACCATCTCTGACTTGATGTAAATCACATGAGAATCCTATGAGTATATAGCTGTACATCAAAAATGAATGACTTGAATCCCTAAATATAGCAACCTGTAAATGTATTACTCTGAAATGATAAAACTCCCTTCGAATAAGAAAAACTTTCTGAAAAGCTTATGGAGATTTCTTTCCCTTGCAGGAGAAACAAACCAATATGTAAATACATTTTCAAGCATGAGCATGTTTCTTTGATATTACCTTGTCACTCCCCTTGTTTGTACCATATACTTTGCTCTTCTAAGCATTTTTGATAAGGGGAATTTTAAAAATCAGTAGATTGCAGCCTGTGGCTGACGCATCTGGATAGTTTAGGTGGCCAGCTTTGAACTATTTTATTATTGCAAAGTTGAAATAAATTGCTTTACTTCTCTACCAGTAGGCTCCTCTGCCAAATTTAACTTGTACATTTCTAAATCACTTACATATTTTAAAGGATTAAAATTAAAGATGAGATTAAAAACTTTTCTCTTTGCTTCAAAGGGAGAACCAAAATCTCCACAGAGCCTAACTGACAACCTTTGTTGCTGCTTGGAAAGGGGGAGGGAAAAAAGGAATTGCTTGAAGTGTTTCCTTAGTTCTTAACCTCTTGTTTTCCAGCCAGTGTTGTTTTGGACTAAACATTGGAATGTTGAGATAGATCGCGATGCTTACCTTGGCTTTACTCAAACCTAAAGTGACATTGAAGAAATTGATCCTGGATATTTGTCCATTTCTGAGCTTGGCTGTGACTCCAGTCCTTAGGAGGGTGGTTAATTTGACATGTTCTGGCAGAATTAATTTTGCTGCCATACCAGTAACTTTCTCCTAATAAATTTTTCTCTCTGGAGATTTCAACACTTTAAAAGATGATACAACGTACCTTTTGCAAAGCAGAGGATGATAAGGTTCATGTAGGCAATGGAGTAAATGATTACTTCTGCACCCCAACATATAATTATGGAAGCAGGATGAAGGAACTTTGAATATGCTTGCTAGTGGCACAGCTGAACATGGGGAGAAATGTCAAGTCGAGGTTGAGGTTCAAAGTTAGGAACGGGTTTCCAGCTTTGCAGCTGCTGTAATTACACAATTCTGTGCATTGAAGCCATTTATCTCCTGCCAACTGTGGTAATTAATTTTGTTTTCAGTTAGTGGAGGGGGGATTGATCTTCCCTTTGTGAAAAACTTTCTCACGCAAATGTTTCCCAGTGTTGAAATGTTGAATGGCTTTCCTCCTGTTGTACAGGTATTTACTGGAATCTGAGCTCATGATTCTCTGAATCCATGACTAATGCAAAGTCAGAGCCAAGTTTATTGATGACTTCTATTTCTCTCTTTAGGGATCAAAGTTTTTCAAAGTATACACTACTTAGAACTTTTAAATTATCTCTAAGTCTATTTGCACGTAATGCAAGTATAGCAACCTGTACAGGTAAATACCTTTTAGTTTCATAAACAAGGAATACAATCTCATGTAGGCATACGTTTTCAATTAAAAATTTCTTATAAACATATAGTTTGTGTGTCTCACAGAGTTCTTTAACCCAAATACATGCCAGTGGCCTTGTAGAGTTGAGTAGTGTTTATAAGAAGGCTTGTCACTGGGCAGCTTTATGTCAATATCCAGAAAACTTGGGCCATACTATCAAACCTTCACCACCAATGTTTTTTACTTTGATTTATTGTGAAAGCCTTTTCTTTCTTTCTTTTTTTTTTCTTTTTTTGAGATGAGGTTTTGCTGTCACCCAGCTTGGAGTGCAGCGGCGCAATCTTGGCCCACTGCAATCTCGCCTCTGGGGTTCAAGTGGTTCTGCTTCAGCCTCCTGAGTGGCTGGGATTATAGGTGTGCGCCACCATGCCTGGCTAATTTTCATATTTTTATTAGAGATGGGGTTTTGCCATGTTGGCCAGACTGGTCTTGAACTCCTGACCTCGGGCGATCTTCCTGCCTTGGCCTCCTAAAGTGCTGGGATTACAGGCATGAGCCACCACGCCCAGCCTGATTTACTGTGAAAGCCTTTTGATGTAATTTCCCTTGAAAGTTGGAGAAATTATCACATAGATTTTTTAAAAAGAGGAAAGTTTCAAAGGACATGACAAAATAATCAATGAACTGAATTATAATTTGTATTTTGGTATTTATAGGAAATCACTTTGAATTAAAGACAGTATATAATTTTTATTTATTTCTTGCATCTTCAAAACTTTGAACTGCATCCATGTCTCAGTCTTTTTGGGCTGCTAAACAGAACAGCATTGATGAGTGGTTTATAAACAACAGAAACTTCTCTCTTACCATTCTGGAGGCTGGGAAGTCCAAGATCAAGGTGCTGGAATAGTCTAGTGAGGGCCCACTTCCTTGTAGATGGCATCTTCTCTTCAGTGTGTCCTCACGTGATGGAAGGGATGAATGAGATCCCTTGGGCCTGTTTGATAAGGGCACTAATCCCCTTCATGGGGGCTCTGTCCTTGTGACCTAATCATCTCCCAAAGGTTCTATTTCCTACTATCATCACCTTGGGAGATTTCAACATACAAATTTTGGGAGAGCACAAACATTCAGCAACATGTGAAAGGTCATAATTGATATGGTTTGGCTCTGTGTCTCCACTCAAATCTCATTTTGAATTGTAATCTCCATAATCCTCAACTGTCAAGAGCAGGACCTGGTGGGAGGTAATTGGATCATGGGGGTGGTTTCCCTCATGCTGTTCTTGTGATAGTGAGTAAGTTCTCATGAGATCTGGTGGTTTTATAAGGGGGTCTTCCCCCTCCCCTCATTTGCTGTCCACCTGCCTCCATGCAAGACGTGCCTTTGCTTCTCTCTCACCTTCTGCCATGATTGTAAGTTTCCTGAAGCCTCCCCAGCCATGTGGATATGTGAGTCCATTAAACTTCTTTCCCTTATAAATTACTCAGTCTTGGGTATGTCTTTATAGCAGTGTGAGAAAAAAACTAACACAATTATGATTAAATAAAACTGAAATTCCTCAGTGAATTTATTCTAAGAAATTAGATAAACCAAATAATATGAATGATAGATAAAATATGATTGGACTGGAGGATAAAAAGAAAATTTGTGAGTGGTTGGGGATAAAAGGATAGTGAGGAGAAGGTAAAGTTGAGCAAGAGTTTAATATTTTTTTCCTAAATATTTCGGTTGATTTCTCTGTGCCCTCCTACACTTCAGTCCTGGGATTTTAGACCTGAAAGGGGTATTAGGGGCATTCTTGTACTTGCCCTTTTCAAACTTCAAGGCAAATATGAATCTCCTGGGGATCTTGATAAAATGCAGATTTGGATTCAGGAGGTCTAGGGGAGTGGTGGTGGGGCTTCAGTTTCTGCATTTCTAAAGCACTTCCTTGGACCACATTTTGAGTACCAAGGATCTAGTCCACTTTCCATTCCTCCCTGTTTTTATTTGTGAGCATGGTGAAGGCCAGAGACACTAACTTTCCCAAGGCCACACAGTCCCTTAGTGCTGCACAGACGAGAAGAGCCAGATCCTCCACTCCTCTGCCCAGTGTTTTCTGTGTGGATTGAGAGTTTTCCAATCTGGTTCTGCCAGCAGAAAGTCACAAATATAATGATGCTTTTTGCAGAATACCCTTAAACACTCACATAATCAATTAATATTCCTCAACTTTGTGCTACATCAAATAGCATCTTACAATAGATAATCAGAGCCCGTTATTTAATATCAGCATCAAACACATCAGTTAACTTAGGAGATCCACGTTTGTGCATCCCAAAGCTTACATTATTTGAGTTCTCCTTTAAAAAGGTACTGAAAAGTTTAAATATAAATAAATATGAAAGTCAATATTTATGTAGAATGGGAATAGAAATGTGAACATGTAACAGAAGCTTTGGAGATCCATGCCTCTTCCTTCTTAAATCACTTGTGGCAATGTATAAAGAGTTTTTCCTAACTGTTGCCTGACTTCCCCTGCCCAACCAGTAAGTACTAGCTCCCAGTACTTGCAAGAGCCTGGGCCACTGAGGGGTCCTGAAGCTTAAGCATTATTAGCTTCACTGTAGAGCTGTTTCTGGTCTAAGAACCAGTGTTGTCTGCATGAAGTGGGCTTTTCTGGAGCAATTAATTTCCTGGGTACAGTGCTCCAACTACCCTGAGACCCCTTGCATACCCATTTCATGGAGTGGATAATCCATTTGCTGGTCCTCCACAAGATTAGAGCTATTGAGAATCTTAACTAGACATACTTTGCTGTTAGTATAATTTCTGGCATTGTGTTAATTCTCATTCAGCTTCATCACCTCATTGGAAGGCAGAAAGAAAAGCCAATAGACAAACTAGAAAAACCAAAAATAGTTGATCAACTTGGAGCTGATCATGCCACATGAGAATGTGGTCATCTAAGCTCCAGCAATTCCAGCGTTTTTTGTTTTTTTAAATCATCTCTGGACCATCCCAGTTATTACCCAGCTTTTGATCCTTTGCCAGTGTTCATTACTTTAGGTCAACAGGAGATTGACAAAGGTAACTGTCAAGTTGAATCATAAAATAGAGAACCAAAATGTAGCTGAAAAAATATGCATGTGTTCTAATACTTCTGAATGTTCTTAGAGAATTTCTAATCCGAATTTAAAACCTTTAAGTTTCATTTTTTAAAATACAAAAGACATTTGTTTCAGAAGACATTTGCGATGTTATATTTTGATATTCTGAATAATCCCCCTTGTGCCGCAGTTTAGCATAGTTTCAGCGCAACAAATATGATTTAGTTAAAATTAGCTGAAAGCATAATGGATATTAAAAACCTTCTGAGATACAAAGTTAAGAACATTACACATTTCTTTGGTATTGACTTTTTGTGATGAATCATATTAATACATCTCAAGTCATTAATCTTGTCTGTTTGTATTTACTTAACTGGGAATATGTAGTTTTGTTATATTCAGTATTTACACCAGTTATGGCGGATGCTATTTCACATATATCTAAAATTGGTTTACATATCAAGATGATTTATTTAAACTAGACCAACATCCACATTCATTTATGCTATGGAAATCAGCTTTGATTGTCTTCGTAGCCAACTTGGAAAAAAAAATCTGGTAAAATCATTTAGTCTCTGAGTTTGCTTTACGAGTGATTTTCTCTGGGAAAAGAAGTGGGGGACTTCTGCTAAATTGGGGATCTGGGTAACCGAGCATCTCTGGGAGGAACAAAGGAATAGAACAGAGGGGCTAATTGTTTAATTAGTAAATGTCTGCTTGGTTAATGACATATTAATGAGTTTTTAAGACCGTCATATCATTTACCATAAAAGACCCATGTGCCTATCCCTGGATGTACTGTATAATTAAGTAATGTGGCCCAGAGGAGTTAATCATTTAAAACCCTGTCATCTTTCTCAAGTTTGCAGATAGAAGAGCTAGCACAGAAGGCACCTGCCAGGTAGAGTCAGGGTGGCACATAATTCTGAACTAAATTGTCTCTCTGCAACGGCTGCACAGTCAGATGTCTGCCCAGGAGCAGAAATTTTTTTTTCTTTTGACAGCTGAAAAAGCTGCTAAGATACTGCCATTTGCTCCTTGGCACTCAGTTACTGGCAGTGAGAGTATGTGTTTGCAGAACAGGGACCATGTGAGCAGCTTTTGAGTACTTAAAAGAGTGTGGAGGCTCAGAGGACTCAGAGATTCTAGAACTGTGCTATTCAATATGGCAGCCACTTGCCACGTATAGCTATTTAAATTTAATTAAAATTAAGTACAATTTTAAAATTATTATTTTTTCAGTCATATCAACCACTTGTCAAGTGCTCAATAGCCACATGTGGCAAGTGGCCCCTTTATTGGTGGCACAGACATAGAACATTTCCATCATCACAAATGGGATGGGATGGACCACACTGTTGCTAAATGCAAACAGTGGTGGGGGCAACCAGGACATTGGCAAGCAGTGGTCACCTGTGTTCTCCATTTCCACCCGTGAAAAGCTGAAGAGAGAATGCATTCTTCAAACCCTGGAAGGTCAGCCCCAGTCCTACACAAATAGTTCATATCCTTTTTTCATGGGGCAGAATCCACACCAGAATATTGCAGCCATTTGTTTAGACTAGAAAATGATAATTTACCTTACCACAGAGCACACAGTTTGGGGGATACAAATTATGTTCTTATTGGTAAATTATAGAGCTTACTACCACAAGCAGCACTGTGAAGTTTTCCAGCCCAGCTCTTTGTTCTAACCTGCTTCCCTTAGACCCTCCAGAGCTTCTTGTTTCAGACCCACAGAACTGAATTCAAGTCAGAAACTGTAGTTCCACTGCTCTTGCATATGTCTATGTGGTTTTTCAATATAAGGTAAACTCTATGCTCAGAAACTTTTGAATGCCTTAATTTTCTTGGACCTTCTGCAGAAAAAAGAGTTCTCCAAATGGGTTATTTTAAACAATTTACTTCTCATTCCCGTTTCTTGACCTCCACTCTACAGTCTGATTTGCATTAATATTTTCTTGCATTAGGTCTCTCCTCTCTCTTTCTGGCCTCTATTTTTCTAAATACTTTTGTCATGTTTTAGTCATTTTAAATTTAATATCCTGCAAATTTCGAATTAATTATGTAAGCATGTGCCACCTTATACAACTGGGGAGTGATTCCAGTGTGTCTTCAGGGTGGAAATACTTAAGACCCCCTTCCTGATCTGCTGGTAATAGCAAGAGGTCTAGGAGTTCAGTCTGTTTCCCTTCAAGATTCCTGTTGAATCTTGACAAGGGGACAAGAACCTCGTCACCTACATGGGGAATCTTTTGCTGGAGCTGTGTGATAATGGTGCTACTGCCAACAACTTGGCACTGGCCATATCACAACTGACGCAAATGCTCCAAATAATATAGGCATGGAGTCCCAATCATCCCCCCATATGCTAACACATCAGACACCTTCTAATTTCCAGCAGTCCAGGGCTTTCTCTATGTGATTTGCAGTGGAAGAAGAATAGGCAATTTATTTTAAAAAACATAGTTCCGGATGGCAGTTAACATACACAGCTCAGACATAACTCTCTTAGATAAGTGCACATCCATCTTTCTGACTTAGAGAAGTCCTGCAGAAAATATTGCTTGAGCGTAAAAAATGTTATCATAAAATTCATGTATTTCCCCCTCTTTTGACATCAAATAGGGTAGATAGATTCTTGAACACAAATGTTACCTCTTTCCCTACTTCATTGGTGGAAGGGGTATACTATTTCTCTCCTTGCCCCTGTGACTTTGTCTCATGGTGGACGAGGTGTTCTTTACCACCCCTTGGTCTGGGGCTTGAGTGTGTGTTTTACTTTGGTCAAATAGATCTTATCAGGTACAGTTTGTTCAGAGGCATAACCTGTGCTTGCCCAATTGGGCTTGCATTCTTGTATTCCTGCCTTTTATCACGAGAAGATACCTTGAGTAATTTTTCTAAGAGGATGAGAGAGACACACACAGAATAACTTGGACCCAATCTGAAGCCTGGACCCCAACCCAGCTGCAGCTGACCTAGCTCAGCTACATCCCAACTACCCTGAAGATGTGTGAGTGAGAAAAAACTTGCTTATTTTTGTATGCCACTGAGATTTTGGATCTGTCAATAACTGAGACATCAGCCAGCCCCTCCTTTTAATTATTAGCAAGACAATATTGATTGTGTGTGAAGGTCACAGGGCATCTGAGGTTGTACAGGCACGATTGTCTGTTCTTTCTGGCTTTGTACTTTCATGGTTATGAAACACCTGGAGCCAGAGCAGGGAGAGTGTTTGCAATTCAGCCCTACCCTTATACACTGACCATGGCAGAGAAGTACAAGAAGATGGTCTTGGTCTTTGTCTTGGTTTCAGCCCTACCCTTATACACTGACCATGGCAGAGAAGTACAAGAAGATGGTCTTAGTCTTTGTCTTGGTGAGGCATGCCTGAAATGCAGAAGTGGGTAAAGGTCTTAGTTCTTGTGATGCCTGTGAAGATGGCTTTGATAGCCATTAGGGAATTTTATAAATATCCTGTTTCTCCTCTTTCCAGGACCATGCTATGTTTGCATGTCTCCACTCTTCTTGAAGTTGTCCTTGACCAATTACTTGGTTTGGACAATAAAATGTAAGTAGGTTTGATGTGTGTGATGTGCTACCTCTGGGTAGAAGCCCTAAGAACTAGTGTTTACCTTACCTGTCCTTGTCCTTGCCATTTTAATGGGCCACTTCCCACATGGTGGAGGATGATGCTATGGAAACCAAGTTCAGAGCTGATGGACACAGAGCATGAAATGGAAATACACATATGCTATTGTAACTCACTGAGAAATTTCTTTATTACACCATAACCAAACCTATCCTGGACTCTTACAATTTCCTATATTCAAGTTGGTTGAAATCTAGTAAAAGAGATGAGGCAGGTTACTATTCAAATCAATATGGGAGTAGCACCATGAATATATGGTTCAGAGTAAATTTTTTTCGAATGTGGAACAAAAGAGAAATTGCTTCAGAAAGACATGATTAAAGATGAATAGCTTGAGCAGTCATTTGAATATGATAGGATCTCAATAGGCAAATTATAGAGGGAGGCATTCAAGAGAGATGAAATGGGAATGGAATTAGAGAGCCCAAGGGATATTTAAAAAATGGAGAGCAGACAGATGGACTTGCGCTCAAGCCTTTTGAAAACAGGCTCATTGCATATAGCTGAGCAGCCTTTCAGTACAGAAACTCATGCTGTGACCTTGAGTATAAGGCCCAAATAATACCAGATAAGAAGACCAGGGCAGAGGGTGAAGACCCTCGAATGTCAGACAAAGAATTATGACCTATGTTCTATTGGCAATTAGAGTTATCAGTGCTTTATGTGTAGTGCAGGAGTCAGAGGAAAGCAGTGTTTTAAGAAGATTCCTCTAGCATGGTCTACATGATGACCAAGGAAAATTAAAAAGGTGACTTATCTAATTTTCTCTCCCTCTTGCTTTGTCTTGAGGACCCACCATAGCAATTGAAGAATGATATGGAAAGCCTTGATATAAGATTCATAAAATGGGAAGATACAAATGAAAAGGCACTTCTTGAGTGAAATGTGTATCATGGAGTCACTAGTCTATAGGTTCTGCCGCTTAGAAGGCTATGTAACCTTAGGCAAGTTACTACTATATCACTTTAAGCTTCATATTCCATACATGCAAAATGGTGATAATACCAGTATACATTTCACAGACTTCTAGGGGAGTGGGTGGTAAATGAGAATATTCACTCATCCCAGTGCCTGTTTAGCCTATATAGTAAATACCAACAAATAGAGGCTACAATTACTTAAATTAATGATCATTTCAGTTTCTCCCGGGGAGTATGATGGTATTTTTTTTTCCTACTAAGCAATCAATTTGCTGTTTCTATGTGATACTTCTTTGGAGAGGAAGACAAACTTCCTAAAAATGTTAAGCTATCAAAATAAAAATGAAAAAATGCACTTTTCTGTTATTTCAACATCACTCGTCCATTAGACCAGAAACACCAAGTAAGCATGACCATCAAGGCAGTTCTTTGTGCAGTTTGGTAATTCCTTTTAAGGCCCCCAGGGAGGCTGGTAGGGAAGAATACTGAAGAGGAAAGCAAACAAGATTAGGTCAGCACCCACTCTCCCTTTGGGGGGATTCACAGTACTGTTTTTGTTGGAATAAGCAAAGCTCTTGCAAAAGTTTGGTTTGTTTCTCACTGAATCCAACGTCTTTTCCCTATCCTTCGGCTAATATTTTAAAAGGTAAAGTAAGCATTCAAAAATGTAAAGTAGCACTTTAAATAAAAAGTGGAGACATTTTTTTCAAAAGGCAGAGAAAGTCAGCCAAAATAGGACAGCCTTCCTTAGTTGTATAAACTGAAAATCCATGAGTTAAGCTATAGAAATGCCTGTGTGCCTCTTCTCTGCCTGTATCTATCTTGGACACTTACATCTTCACATCAACAAAATTAGTAAGGAAGTTATTACTCAATTTTACAAATGAGGAAAGAGCAATTAAGTAAATTTAAAAGCACGAAATAAAAATGGGATTTCACTCATTCATTAAACAGAGATTTATGAGTGTCGATTTTATGGCAAGCACTGTTTAAACCACAAGGACGTAACCTTGACCAAGTCAAAGAATAGAATTTCAAGCAGCTGGAAGTGTAATGGGGTGGTGGGGGGTAGACAAGTAAACATAGAACTAGTGTGATGAGGGCTTTGAAGGTTCCTTGGAGGAGGTGAATTCAAGCTTGAGTCCTGCCGGGTGACGGCAGGTTAGCATCTGCTAGGGCGAGAGGGCAGGGTGCCAGGGGAAATGGAGGCAGGTCAAGGTGGCTGGAATGTGGCATGAGAGGCAAGGAGTGACCAGGGCACTTGGATCATGAAGTTCCATCTACATTATGGCATCTGGACTTCATCAGAATATGTTGTCGATATCCACTGTCTTTATTAGAATCTGATAAATCCTTAACCTTTCCATCACTGCCACCTCCATCCAAGCCATTATAATTCCTTACTGGGATTATTGTCATATTCTTTTGTGTGATCTCCCTTCTGATCTTGACCTCAAGTCTATTCTAACACTGCCACAGTAAGCCTGTTAAAATGTAAGTTAGATTATGGCACTTTGGCTTATAACTTCCAATGTTTTTTACGCATTAAGGAAACAGACAAACAAAGAGCCTGGATCCATATAGCCTGTATGGCTTTACTGGATCTGCTACCTTCTTTCACCACTCACTTTCCACCATATACTCTCTGATCTGACCTCTTATTGCTGTTCCCTCTCCTCACTCTGTCTGGTCCACTGATGCGGCTTCCCTGCTGTTCCTAGAGCACACACAGTGTCCACAGCATGCTGTCACCACAGGACCTTTGCATCTGTACTCTCTCTGCTTACAATGTTTCTTCTTTCTGACCTCCTTAATTAAGGTCTCTACTTAAATGTCACCTTCCTGATGAGGCTTCCCCAGTCCCCTTTATGTAAAGTTGTAACCCATGCCCCTACCCATCTCAGGGATCCCTTTCATGGAATTCACTATCTAACATACTTAAATTTCATGTGTTTTTCTTGTGTATCATCCATCTCCTCCTCTAGCATATGATCTCCTCAAGAGGAGGCATGTCTGCCTATCTGCTCACTGCTGTGTCTCCGGTACAGACAACAGTGCCTAGAATAGAGAGGCTTCCCACTAACTGTTTATTGACTACATGAATGAGTATACCTGGACACAGTTGGAACAGTTGCATATGAATGGAGCTTTCATTTCTTTATAAGACAAATAGTAAACACTGAGCTTCTGAGTGTCACTATGTGTCATAAGATTAGCCTAAAAAGTAAATCTAAATATAAAGGAATACAAAATGTTATAATCTAGGGAGGATACAGGCAAACCCCGGGCAGCTCAGATCTATAATTATTACTCTGAAGGTCAGAAATAGGAGCAAAATACTAATATTGTAACCCAGAAGGGAAAGAGGTTTTAATAAATATAAAATGTTTGGCTTATGCTAGTTCTTTATTTGTGGTAGTGAGAGGTGAAGCCAGCGGGACTTCCTGGGTCGAGTGGGGATTTGGAGAACTTTTCTGTCTAGCTAGAGGATTGTAAACACACCAATCGGTGCTCTGGGTCTAGTTAGGGGATTATAAATGCACCAATCAGCACTTTGTAAAAATGCAACAATCAGCACTCTGTGTCTAGCTAAAGGATTGTAAATGCACCAATCAGCATTCTCTAAAAACGCACCAATCAGTGCTCTGTGTCTAGCTAAAGGATTATAAATGTGCCAATCAGCACTCTCTAAAAACGCACCAATCAGCACTCCTTGTCTAGGTAAAGGATTGTAAATGCCCCAGTCAGCACTCTGTAAAAACGCACCAATCAGCACACTGTGTCTAGCTAAAGGATTATAAACGCATCAATCAGCACTCTGTAAAATGGACCAATCAGCACTCTGTAAAATGGACCAATCAGTGCTCTGTAAAATGGACCACTCAGTGCTCTGTAAAATGGACCAATCAGCAGGACGTGGGTGGGGACAAATAAGGGAATAAAAGCTGGCTAGTAGCCTGCAGTGGCAACTCGGTCAGGTCACCTTCTATGCTTGTGGGGGCTTTGTTCTTTTGCTGTTCATGATAAATTTTGCTGTTGGTTACTTTTTGGGGCTGTGCCACTTTTAAGAGCTGTAACACTCACCACGAAGAGCTGTGGCTTCCTTCTTGAAGTCAGCGAGACCAAGAACCCGCCAGAAGGAAGAAACTCTAGACTGGGTAGTCTCTTTGTTTCCTTCTCCTAATGAAACACTAGATTCATTGGAGCTGATCTATCAGCATGGCTCTGATGCTTATTTTTTTTTGTTACTGTAACAGCTAAAACACTTCCTTGTAATTTACCCCAAGTGGCATAATAAAAACACAGTATTACTCAAAAGGTTGAAATAGGACTAGATTTAGCCATAATCTGGTCTAGGGCCTCAAATAATGTCATCAGTACTCAAAATTTCTCTACCTCAAGGCTTCGTCTGCCCCCTAGCCTGGCTTCAGCCGAGACAGTGTCTTCATAGTGGCAGGATGGCTGCAGCAGCATGAGCGTCAGCAACATTTAAGTCTGCAGCACACAAGTAACTTTCCTGGCAGCATGCTGTGAGAGTCACTCTGATTTGACCAGCTTGAGTTACTAGCCACCTTCATTTGTGGACAGGGAAAATGCAACATAGTGATTAGTTAACCCATGGGTCACATTCAGGTCCTATGAACTGACAGTGAGTTAGGTGCCAAATAAAAATCAGTGTTTGTGCCAGAAGCTGGCCATCAGGATGCATGAGGACCAATCCACATGTGTCATCTTCTGTTTTCTTCTAGAATTTCCTGAAGTTCATTATTGTTAAGGATCTTAGCAACCAGTCTTTGGATTTAATATTAAAAAAATAAAATGATAGCAGCTATGGTGACACATTTTTAGTAACTTTTGCCATATTTTAGAAAGTTAACATATATAAACATCAGAAATTACTGGACAGATTACTAAGGGTTATGACTTCATGGTAATTTATTTATTTATTTAGAGATGGAGTCTTCTTGTGTTACCTAGGCTGGAGTGTAGTGGCATGATCATGGCTCACTGCACCCTCAACCTCCTGGGCTCAAACAATCCTCCCAAATAGCTGGGATTACAGGTGTGCACCATCATGTCCAGCTAATTTTTGTATTTTTTGTAGATACAGGGTCTTTCTATGTTGGCCAAGCTGGTCTAGAATTCCTGTCCCCAAATGATCCTCCTGTCTTAACCTCCCAAACTGCTGGGATTACAGATGTGAGCCACGATGCGTGGCCTTTGTGGTAATTTAAATTAAGTCTTTCTTGAATAGAAATTTCTCTGATGATGGTGATGATGATAACAGATAATACTCAGACAATTGAGCAGAAAGTAGGTTTGTGTATTCTTTTTTTTTTTTTTGAGATGAAGTTTCACTCTTGTCGCCCAGGCTGGAGTGCAGTGGTGTGATCTCAGCTCTTGGGTTCAAGCCTCCCGAGTAGCTGGGATTACAGGCGCCTGCCACTATGCCCAGCTAATTTTTGTATTTTTAGTAGAGACGGGGTTTCACTGTGTTGGCCAGGCTGGTCTCTAATTCCTGACCTCAGGTGATCCACTCACCTTGGCCTCCCAAAATGCTGGGATTACAGGCGTGAGCCACTGCACCCGGCCTGTTTTTGTACTCTTTAATCCACCATTCACAGAAAGGTTGAGGTTGGTGCCTTCTGGGCATGTGAATTTTCTTTGGGAAGGCAAACTACAACTGTTGGGCAAAATATGTAGCAAAACGAAAAACACCAAATACTCTGGTATGCCATTCAACAAACTGATAGACGTTCTCTTCTTATTTTCGGCAGTATATTTTATTATCCCAGTCCTGATTTGTTAGTACTTCTCTCCAGTGATATAAAATCAAGAAATGAAGTTAAAATTTTAGGAATATTCCCAAACAGTAAAAATTGGTGAGATAATTCTATCAGCCTCCATGGTTGTTCCTGCTAGGAGCCAATTCAGTGCCTTGTGGTATTCGCACAAAAAGAACATATTTTGCATAACATATCTTCCAAGCAGTGATTATCCCTTGCAGGCTGTGTGTTTTTCCAAGGGGTCCTGCTGATTAGAGGCTCTGAGTGAAATCTGTGCTGGTTGATAACCTGGCTACCTTGGCTTTCTACTACATTAAACCCCCTTTGGTCTTTTTAAACAGTAGCACTCATGCCAGTAGACTTTCCCTGCCTTCAGAAGCTATGTTTCCTTGCCAAGAATTTAATTCTTACAGGTCACCAAGAAGTAGATGGTATGTGTTGGCAACATTAATATCAGAATGCAACTTTTGAGATTATGAATTATCAATAGAATATCACATATTGTATGCCTTTGTAGTTAAATTTTCAAATAATTCAGTGAGTATTGAATAAACGTTATTGATCGTCACCATCTTCACCAAATTGATGTGGCACTGCCCGATTCTATTACATAATAGTGCCATTCAGTGTCCCATGTTAGAGAGTTAGATGGAGCAGAAAAAAATACCAGGGTGTTTGAGAAATGTTTTTTATTTTTTTTTAATTTTTTAAATTCTATTATTATTATACTTTAAGTTCTAGGGTACATGTGCACAACATGCATGTTTGTTACATATGTATATATGTGTCATGTTGGTGTGCTGCACCCATTAACTCATCATTTAGCATTAGGTATATCTCCTAATGCTATCCCTCCCCCCTCCCCCCACCCCACAACAGTCCTCGGTGTGTGATGTTCCCTTATAGACCCATAACATATTGGCATATTAATGCCTTGAAATATCATTCAGCATCTCTCAAAGTTATCATTTGCTTAGGCTGTTTTGAACCTCTTTTTGCCATGTGACAATTTTTAATATTCTTTGAACTTAATTTCCATGGGGTACACATTACAAGATTCTAATTTGACAAACACTTACATGGTCCTGTGTGCAGGAAGCTCGCCTCTGTATCACTGTAGTATTCATAAAACGACAGTAACTATCTAGGTCTTTGGCCTTTTCGTCTCTCCTCTAAGCCACAGGTCTGAAAACTTTTTCTGTAAAGTCCCAGATAGCAAATCTTTTTGGCTCTGTGGGCCATACAATCTCTGTCACAATTACTCAGTTCCGCCCTTGCAGCCACAGACAATATGGAAACATAATGACCATGACTGTATTCCCATAAAACTTTATGGCTAACGAATACTGGATTCCATGCACTTTTCACATATCAATTTTTTTTTCCTTTTGATGTTTTTCAACCATTCTTTACTCATGGGCAATACAAAAACAGGCAGTGGATTGGATCTGGTCCATGGACCACAACTTGCCAACCCCTGCTCTAAACTAAAATGGGTAACCTAGATGATATCAGTACTTCTTTCCACACTAGCCAGATCAGTATTCTGTATTACTGTTTTCTTACTTTTCTTTTGTGCTTTTGCAAAAATCTTGAAGAAGACAAACCTTCTAACTCTACCCATCCCTCAATGCTCACTAAGTTCCTACTGCCTTGATTAAACTTTTTCTTTATTCTTCCTTCACACAGAAATTTTTCTACATGACCCCTTTAGAATAAGGTATGTCAGGGCCACACTAGCAGCACCTCTCCTCTGACATTTTGAAATAAATTTAGTTTTGCTACATACATTCAAAGAACACATATTTTGTGGTCTCTGAATTTTTTGAAATATTTTTTAGAGCACAAATCTACTCTACATTACTTTATGACACCACTCCTGAACCAAGCTAGCACATAATTGTATATCCATTGAGCACTCAATCAACACATTATAGAAAAACAGTGTATAAATCATACGAGAATGGATGGATATTTTATCTATAGTTTTATAGTCAATACTCAACTCTCTGCACATTTAGTATATGGCAGAGCATAATTGACATGAGGTAGTAGAATGGATGTTATTATGTTTGGAGTAGTATGGTTTATTCTCAGATGTCCATCTAATGAAAGTGGGTAGTTGCCTTGTCTTCATTCATTTGATAAATAAATGCTTATTGAGTTCCTGTATCGTAGGTCCCAGCATTGAAGCAGATCTAGGTTGTCGTTCTCATTTGTACAACATGACATCACCTCTGGGTCCAGCTTTGGCTGAGTGTGCCTCTGAAACATCTCACACATCAGAACTCTTCTCCCCTCCATGCCTGCCTCTGTTAGCCTCTCATTGCCACTTGATTCAACAGTTAGTTTTTCTTCCTGTAGTCAGCTGGTGTCTTCTACCTTGTACACAGTTGTCAGAGTGATACTTTTATGAAGTATAACATATTATTAACGTATTGCTAATTTCCTATGTCTAACTGTTTAAGGATTTGCATAGCCTGCAGGATGTGTGAGCTTCTCAGGGCGTACACGTTCTCCCATGAAGACCCCTGCCTCCCTCATCTCTTTTGTCTTGTACTACTTTGCTAGAGCTTCCATAATAAAACATTACTGACTGGGTGGCTTAAACAATAGAAATTTATTTCCTCATAGTTCTGGAGGCTGGAAGTGCAAGACCATGGTGCCAGTAGGGCTGGTTTCTCCTGAAGCCTGTCTCCTTGTTTTGTAAATACCACATTCTCTCTTTGTCCTCCCTGGGCCTTTCCTCTGTGCACACACATCCCTGGTATCTCTCTGTGTCCCAATTCTTCTTCTCCTAAGGTAGCAGTACCGTTGAATTACTGCTCAATCTAACAGTCTCATTTTACCTTAATTACCTCTTTAAAGACTCTAATTTCAAAATACAGTAACATTTTGAGGTATGGGGTTAGGACTTCAACATGTAAATTTTGGGGAGGCACAGTTCAACCCATAATGCATCCCTTACTTTCTTCCTTCTCCCTGACAAGCATCGGCCACACCAGATGTTTTTCTGATTGCACCAAAGCCTTCCGTATCTCATGCTTTGCTCCTTCTGCTTTCTTTGCATGAGATGCCTTTGTCTTATCTAGACCATTTTTCTGCCTGATGAACACTGATAATATTTCAAGATGTAATTTAGAAATCACCCTTGGCCTGGTGCAGTGGCTCACGCCTGTAATCCCACCACTTTGGGAGGCTGAGGTGGGCTGATCACGAGGTCAGGAGTTCAAGACCAGCCTGGCCAATATAGAGAAACCCCATCTCTACTAAAAATACAAAAATTAGCCGGGTGTGGTGGTGCACGTCTGTAGTCCCAGCTACTCAGGAGGCTGAGGCAGAAGAATTGCTTGAACCCGGGAGGCCAAGGTTGCACTGAGCCGAGATCATGCCACTGCACTCCAGCCAGGGTGACAGAGCGAGACTCCGTCTCAAAAAAAAAGAAGCCACCCTTTCTGTATTGTCTTTCTTGACCTCTTGGTGTCTGTGGAGATGTTCCATAGTTGCACCTGTGACAAGTGTTGTACTCATGTGGGTGCATCTGTCCTCAGTCCTAAATTGAAAACCAGAGCCTATGTTTCATTACTGCTCAATGAAGATTTGTTGGATGAATGACTTGCAGGATCTTCTCTGACCCTCTTGAGTTTTGATTGGTTGGATACATTGTTAGATAATGAGGCAACAGAAATGTTGCAGTTCCTGAGTTACCAAAGCAATTTTGTGAAGATAACTATACTGAGCAGGATAAGCTTAAGATACGTAAAGTGCAACCAAAGACACTGTGAAAGGTAACATGATAGGTTGTGCATAGAAGTGGACACAAATTGAACCAGGACACTTTTACTTTAAGCTAAACTATTATTTTCTTAGATTTATTTACAAGAAAATGATTAGAGTAAAAGTTTTGCTTTTTAAAATCACTTGAAAAATTTCCCAGAGTCTCTTTTATTTCTTTTTTCCTCACAAACAAAAGGAGCTAGCTTTTTCCTAAAGAAGTTTTATCCTGATGATTTACTAAGTGAGATATTAGATAATTACTTTTACTTTATAGATTTTTACCTGGCACCTCAGGACTTGGAAATAAAGCTTTCTTTGAGGGGAAAATGTTTTGAAACATAAAACTTCCAAGACAAAGCTGTACCCATTTTCTAGCACAATTTATAGCAACTTCTAGAATCTCATATACAAGATGGGAGTTGAAAGAATTTTATAAAATTCTCATTTAGCAATATTAGAAAAATATTTAATGCATTACCATTCATCCTTTCTTTCATAGATGTTAGACAAAAAAAATAGATCTAGATGTATTCTGACAATAGTTCCTTTCCTTCGACACTATGCTCCATGAATTGTTCTGTGGTTCCCTATTTTTTGAAATGTAGGTAAGACCTATCTTGTATACACCATAAATTATAGTTCATTATAAACTATAGCTTATAGCAAACTTTAAGCAAGAATGATGAACTACTGCAATTTGGAGGAGAGAAATCCTCTGCCTGTTGGTAGGACTACATCAAGGTAGGTAGTTATCTATGTTTCTTTGGAAGAGTCTCAAATCATGTCATTAAAAATGGCAGTACTATACATATACCTGATGGCTTTGTCCCTTGGTTAGGCTCTTCATTCATTAGTAAATTCATCAATTTATTTCCTCCATCATTCAACCTATGTTTCCTATGAGCTTGCTGTGTGCAGGATACTTTGCTACATTAACTATGCAGTGCCTTATTGTATGCAGTTATTTGCCCCATTTATTTTCATGATAAGATTTCAAAAGAAAACTCTTAATACATCCGGTGAGGGCCTTTCCACTTGAAAAAAAATGCCAAACATTTAACCTGACTGAAAATGTATCACCAAAGTGCTTGGCTTCTGGCATAAAGCAGGGACTATGTATAAACACATCATAAAAATAGATAAAACAAGACCAGAGAGCCCAGAAGGGTAAAGTTGTCCTTTAGATACAGTCATGGTGACAACCCAAGCAGTGCCAGAGGATAAAGCAAGCTGCACCAGACTTCAAGTCAACAGACATTTATTGAACTCCAGTTCTGCATGGGGCACTGTGATAGTTGCTTTTGGGGATACAAAGATGAGTGAGACATCATTCTGCCCTCAAGAAATTTACAAGGGGAGAGAGAGATACACAGAACTGCCATACAAGGCAGGATGCATTAAGTGCACAAAGAGAGATATAACTAAAGTGCTTAGGGACATGCAGGAGAAAGTGGTTAATTTTTACCATAAATATCAGGGAAGACTTCATGCAAAAGATAGGCTTTGAGTTTTTCATGTAAGTTTAGATCAGATTCTGAGAGATAGAGGTATGGGAAAGAGTGAAGTAAACAGCACATAAGAACAGTCATGAAGAAGGCAATTTCAGTGTGCAGCATTTAGAGCTTGGGTCAGAAAAGCAGGTCCACTACAAGTGGGAGCTGGTTGCTATACACTGAATGTTTGCAGTCCACAAAATCAATATGTTGAAACCCTAATCTCCAGTGTGATGGTATTTGGAGGTGGGGCCTTTGGGAGGTAACTGGGCTTGGATGAGGTCATGGGGGTGGAACTCATGATGGAATTGGAGCCTTTACAAGGGAATGAAGAGACAAGAGCTCTCTTTATGCCACGTGAGGATACAGCAAGGCCCCAATCTGCAAGCCAGGAAGAGTCGTCACGAGAACCAGACCATGCAGGAACTCTGATCGTGGACATTTCAACCTCCAGAACTGTGATCCAGTAAGTGTTGTTTAAGCCACCCAGTCTTTGTTATTTTTTATAGCAGCCTAAGCGGACTGAGACACGTGAAGGTGGACTGAGACACATGAAGCAGTCAGTGTGGGGCTGTTCCTTCACTATCTGGTGCTGAAGCTTTAAGTCCACGGGGCAGGAAGTTGGGAGAAAAGAGGGCGTGAAATAGAGAGGGGTTCGAACAATCTGGAACTCTTGAGGCTGAGCTGGTTCCCACAAGGACCAACTGGGACCCATTAGCCCCTCTTACCACCTGTTAGCCTCCATCTTTGATTATGGAATCGATTTGCTGGAGAAGCTGGAGCTTTTCCTCATGGAGCTAAATCTGCTGCTGCCATGGGTGTGATAAGCTGAAGGAGGGGAGTGGGAAGGAGCTGAGGAGCTGCACTAGGCTGCTACCCCAGCCAACCAGTTGAACTGGCACTGGGACAACCATGTATGCTGTCTGAAGCACAGCCTGACGCCCCTGTGGACCTTTATAGAATGCAAAGAGTATGGCTGCTACTTCACTTTTACCTTTCAAATCTTGTGCAAATTCACTTATGCTCCACCCCCAACCCAGAACTCTGCGGATAAAGGAATTCTGGGAAATGTAGTTCCAGTTTGTCTGAATTGACCTATTGCAAATCCACAACACAGCACCAGAATATTACCTAGGATTATATTCGACCTGTTTCAGTGCTACAGAATATTTTATCTTCTCAGAAACCATGTAGTCTCCTTAGAACATCACAGTGAGTGCAACCTCCCACAGAGCTAACCTGTGTAATTGAAACCATTTAGGGAACAATGTATTCACTTGCTAAAGATCAACCAACTTGTTCATTTTTCAATTGTTTAGGGCCTTGCTGGAATTTAACACAAGGCAGAGAATAAGATTTGAGTAAAAGAGAGAGTTATATAAAATTGATGCTTTTCTCTCTTTTTTTTAATCATTGAAAAGTGAATGGAGAGACCCTTTTTCATTTTTGCTGGACAGCTTACAAATTCTAGATACATCAGAGCTCTTACATACAGATGTAGAACAATATGGTCTTGGGAAGCTGAAAATGCTAACTGAAACAAGCAGGACAGGGGATGAGTCAAGTGATTAATTTTTTATGATGATAGATGTCTTACAACTCTTTCTTTCCTCTTCCTAGAAATGCATATGTATCTTTGGAAGAAACTCTGAAGTAAAGGCCGGAATATTCTTTGTTTAAAACATTAAAAACAAAACAGACCAAAGCATCAAGCAAGAAGTTTCCTGGCAATAAACTAAGCACAGCATTATTTTTTAAGGAACACAAATTAAGTGTTCAACCTGTGGCAAATTTGTACTTTCTCCCTGAATTATGTTGTTATCAAAGAAAAAAATTGGGAAGCATGGCAAAATATCATCAAAACTGAAACTAGAATTAAACAAAACTAAATTAAAATGAAATAAAATGATGTCCATTCTTAATTCATCCTCACAACTGGGCCACTAGTTTTATGCATCTTGGCAGCCAATATTTTTGTCTCTAGGGCATAAATTATGCATCAGGTACCTCTGAAACTCAGAGACCAAGGAAAAAGGAGGTAATTTGGAAGGTGAAATAAATGTAAACATTCTGAAGAAAGAATCAAATCTGTACTTCAGGGTCAAAGATGAAATTCAAAAGGGGTTGACAATGCATAGAAAAAAGTGCTGAATTTAAAGTTGGTTTTATTATTATCATTGTTATTTGAACCAATAATTAAATCCAGTAAGTCTAGAGCAATGATCATAATTCTGTACTGTTGTTTTTCTATTTTAGAATCCAGTGTACTGTTTCCAAGAGCTTGGCAAAAAAAAAAAAAAAAAAAAAAAAAAAGAAAAAGGAGCTTGACTCTAAATCTCTAAATCTTGGAGTCTGGATGCACTATTCATGTGATAGGCTAAAATAACTACTAATACCTTATGTTCAAACAGCACTTTATGAAGTGATTACACATAAAAGATCTTTTTTGATATAACTGTTATACGGCATATCTTCCATTTTATAGACAGGGTGAGTTGTTTGATGCGTAAGATGAGCTGAAATAGGAAAAGTGACAGAAAATTTACAGACCTATGGAATAATATTCCACAATGGGGTATTCTTTATAATTATCTGGGCTGAATAGCACCATCCAAAGTTCTTAAATCATCAACAATGCCATTTTTACTGTAGAGGAGAAGAGTTATGATCCTTTGACTCTTTAAATTTTCTTCCTTGACAAAAGTGATCTACCTTTCTAGCCAACCTGTCTCAATGATCCATAATGTTGCTACCCTGGTGCCAGATGGATATGATAGAAGGCTCCTAAAAGGCTCTTGGTTTGAGGAAAGTGTTGCTTACATACAACAGGAATCTTGTGGGATTTAAGAAGTGGGGAGATGTAAGTTTGAGTCATTAATAATTTAACTAAATTTACTTTTACAATGTTAGCATTGCTATTTTGGTTTATGTAACTTATGACTAATATTTTTAAAGATACTGAACATTATATTAATTTCTTTACAGCATGGCTTACCTTTAAATATTGCACCATGTCCATAGGTGCAATCTGTCCTAATCTATTTCTATTGAGGACCCAAAATAGGCACTAAGATGTACAGCTGTGCCAAAGAGCGATTTATCCCTCTTCTTGATCTAATGCACCGTAAAATCTAGTAATTTCTTACTGTTCCAATGATTACTTCTTGCTTATAGCTGGTACTCAGTCAAAACAGCCTGTTACCAGATTAGCTACATTATTTAGACCAAATTCCTCTTAACTGCCTACTAGATTTCTCATCTTGGATGCCCCATGGGTTCATCAAAATTAGGATGTCCAGAACGAAAGCCATTACCTTCCCCTCAAAGATGTCCTTTCTTTCTAAAATGATTCTGTCTATGTGTGAATGGCATCATGATCCCCTGAATCTTGCAAACTATTCACTTTGAAGTCATCCTTAACTCCATACCTTATTTGTTAGCCACCTCATCCTGTTAAATCACAAACGTGTTTCCAACCCGACTTCTCCAATTTATTCCTACTGATTGTGCTATTCCAAGTTCTCTATGTATTGCCTGGATTTTCTCAGCATTTTGTAACTAGTTTCTTTGTCAATAATCTCTCATTATTCTGGCCCCCAGCCTGCCAATGACCTTGCTTTAATTTTAGTGGGATGGTTTCGAGGGAATGTATGTTGGTGAAAACAATTATCTGCTTCCCTATTTAAGCTAGAATGCCTTACAAACTGCTTAGCAGAGGAATGCAGCTCTTCACAAATTTGCCCCATATGGATCCTGCCCATGAGGCAGGTTCAATAAAGTCGACCAGTGATTGTTGGAGTGATGTGCACAAAGGCGGAAAGGGAATTGAGGCATTGGCAAAGCTAGGAAGGCTGATGATACTTATTAATAGTGTGAGGCAATGTATCTAAACAGAGGTTGAAATATAGGAGAACCTGGGTTTGCTTAATGGGGCTATTAGCTGGGCAGTGAGCCTGGTGTGTACAGAATGAAAAAAGAGGTGATTGTGAGTGGGGTTGTACGTAACAGGACTCTTGTGTGGCATTCATGTGCTGTCTTTCCAGTTACTCTGACACGTGCATCCTTTGATTTAGCTGTGTAATTTCTTTCATTATTATTCTTTTAAACTGACAAATAAAAATGTATATAATTAGTGTATACAACATGATGTTTTCACATATGTATGCATTGTGGAATGGCTAAATGAAGCTGATTAATATTTGCATTCCCTCACATATGTATCTGTGTGTGTGTGTACACTTAAAATCTACTCCCAGCAATTGGAAGTAAACAATACATTGTTATTAACTCTACTTGCCATATTGCACAATAGAACTTTTGAACTTTTTCTTCCTGTCTAAATAAAACTTTGTGTCCTTTGACCAACATCTCCCCAACTTCGTAACTCTCCTACTGCTGATAACCACTATCTTACTTTCTGCTTTTATGAGTCTGATTCCTCTAGGTACCTCACATTAGTGAAACCATGCAGTATTTGCCTTTCTGTGACCAACTTATTTCACTTAGCATAATATCCTCAAAGTGTATCCATGTTGTTGCAAATGATAGATTTCCTTCATGTTTTTAAGGCTGAATATTATTACATGTGTACCATATTTTCTTCATTCATCCATCAGTGGCCACCTAGGTTGCTTCCATATTTTTAGCCATACAATTTCTTAATGTTACTTGAGCACACCTAAGACTGTATTTCCATCATTTGACATTTTGAAATTAAGACATTTTGAGAATATTCAGGGCATAAAAGTTGAATACTGTTATAAATTTCCTATTGATTATAAACTAGATCAATGTAAAATTGCCCTCTACTCAATTTCATATTTGTCTTAACAAAACAATGATTAATTAGCTGATTTATTCACTCAACAAGTATTTCTTTAAGTTTGATTACATTCCAAATGCTTTTAGGAGCCTATGAACAAAATTCACTGTCCCCATTTTGTAGAGCTTACAGAGAATGTAGTCATTATTACAAATAATACTGACATCAATATTTGTACTCTGGGTTTTTCTTTGAGGGGGGGAACTGCATTCTAGAGCCTTGTGTATGATATTTTCTTGTGATACATTATTTTTGCGATATTTTGTGTAAGAAATAACAGATTATTATTTTCAATTGTTTCTGAGAGTCTTTGCCTGTATTATAAAGGGGAAATTTAGACCCTTTACTTTTATTCTTCTGTTATTCTTTTGTCATCCTGATTTATACTTTTTAAAATATGTAATACTCTTGCCTTTTATTTATTTTTTTTTACAGGTGGAAGTGTAGCCACTCTCTTTTTCATTCTACCAGTTGCTATTTCAATCTTTTTCAAGAGAAGGCTAAAATTTTAAGAGAAGGCTAAAATTTTATGTAACTATCAAGGAGAGGAACAAAATTATGGCTTTTAATGCTCCCTTTGGGAAGGTCAAGAATTTGGAGCTTTTATATTTCTCTTTCTTCTTAATTTAGGTCTTGATCAATATAACTGGAGCCTGTGGGGTATGTGTGTATAAAATAAAGTTTAAATGTACTGGTTTAAAAGGCTGAAAAGTGTGTTTAGTCTAGGTCCAGGTAGCAGAGCTCATTAGTAGTAAAAACTGGACCAGGGACTATTTCTGATACCAGATCCAGTCTTTTTTCTGTTGCTTCCAGCTACCTTTCATCTTAGTCATAAGTTTGTGATTAAATAGCAAATGTGTTAGAGATTTCACTTTAAAACTAGTTCATCTCAGTGTGGAGCAACTCATGTGAAACTCTGACATTTCTTCAATGAATAAACCAGTCTGATAAATTTAGCATCTTCTAACATTAGTCAGCAAAAATGTTTTTGACTTACTGAAAGGACACACATTTTCCACAAAAAGCCCACAATGATCATGCATCCTAAGCATTCCACACTATTTAAGCAATCTGTCTGTCTATTTCAACAAACACATGTAAGTTGCCATCTCAGTGACAACTTTTCTCCATGAAACACAATTCTTCTTTAGCCTTGATTTGATGCATTGGGTGCATTTAGTTTTCTGCACTACATTTCATTTCCCTTCTATGGAGTAATAATACAGTGCGTTAACATTAAACCTCAAAAACATTCATGAAAAGGCATTTTATCCTACATTAGCAGCATCTTTAGATAGCCATAAAGCTCTTACTCTTCCCCTGCAAGATAAATAAGCAAACCCTTCAAATGGCTGAGGCATAGCAGTGCTCCTGAAGTAAGTGGATGCATATAATGATCTGGTTCTCATTTTCTAAATATAGACAAGGCATGTTACGTGATAGAGTCCCTTCCTAAAAAAAAAAAAAACCAGAAAAATCTTAAACATTCATTTATCGCATGAAAAGTCCTAGCTCTTTTAAAACATTCTTTATCATTGGCTTCCAGCCAGTGATCACTGTAGTAATTTGAGGAGATACGTGTGTTCAAGATGATTTTTCTGTTTCTGCAGGGATGCCGGGATTATTAAGTATTCTACATCATGAGAGTAATTACTGATGTTCCTCAGTAGAAGGCAACCCAATGAATAGAATTTTGTGAAACAACTTGTTTGGTATATAATGGATTCAATTACACTTTTTAAATTGTTTGGAAATACACCTGTGACACTGTAAATTAACAACGATGAAGTGAGCCAGCTCTAGGTTGGGGAACTCCCATAACAAAGCACAGGCCAGCTGTCAGGAAGGGAGTCCTGGTCGTGGATGAATCAGTACAACATCGGGGAATCCACGTCCAAGGAGCAGAAATCAGAAGGGAGAGTGGAGTCCTTAAAGAGCTACCAGCAGAGAAATGAAAGCTGGAAGGCCTGTTTTTAGAAAGAAAAGCTTTAATGAGCTAAAAGAAAGTAAATCCCATGAGCCCTAGGAGTTTTGTAAATAAAGAGACCAGCCTTCCCCTGGGTGTTAGGCTGTAAGCGAGCTTCCCGTTTAGAGATGCTGCTGCAATCACGTTTCATGTGCAAAGTTAGCTCGTCTGGATTCCTTGTACTCCCAATTTTTCAAAGGAGTGACCAGACACCACCTGAAAATGTTGTTCACATTGCTTGGGATGTGATCCATTTGAGATTTATTTGGAGTTTCAAGCAAATGCGCCACAGAAGATAAAGGGTAATCAGTCACTTACCTCCATGGGAATGAAGTAGGCACTTTCCTCATACTACCTAACTAAACAGCAGGGAAGGAAAGCAAGTTTTCTAGAGGAATAGATAGGGCAGACTGAGGCAGCGGAAAACAGCATAGCCCTTCCTCTAAGGTGGCACCTGGGGGAACTACAGGAAGAATGGTCAGGTAAGGGAAGTGAGAGGGCCGATGTTAACAGCTTGCATGTAACCTTGAACCCTGCCAGCCTACAAAGTCTCCCTACTCCATCTTCTATGGATAGAATGCTTGCGTTCCCACATCCCCCCTAAATTCTTATGTTGAAGACTAAATTTCCAACGTGATGGTATTTGGAGGCCGGGCCTTAGATTTTGAGAGTGGAGGCCTCATGAATGGGATTAGTGTCCTTTAAAAAGACACGAAAGATGGTCTCCCTTTCTCTGCCATGTGAGGGCACAGTAAGAAGACAGCTAGCCATGAACCCAGGAAGGGTTACCAGAACTCCTCAATCATGCTGGCACCCTGAACTCAGACCTCCCAGCCTCCAGTACTGTGGGAAATAAATTTCCGTGTTGAAGCCACCCAGTCTGTGGTGTTCTGTTACAGCATTCTGGACTGACTGAGACACCATCCCAGTGTGGCTATAATTAAACTCTGGCTTTGTTCTCTACTCCATCTCTCCCAACCCACCCATTTTCTGCCCTGTTGTAGTGACAATAATCCATACTGATAAATACTTCAGAGTGGGAGGCTTGAGTTATGACATATGAAATAAGCAGCAGCAATGTATAGAGTTATTTTATATCTCATGTTACTACAGATGCTTACTGCTGTTCCCGGGGGACCCTTGGTCCTCCCTTTTAGGTATTCAGCTATTGAGAGTAGGAATCAAATCAGTTTTCAATATTAAAAGATTTTCCCCCTCTTTATCCCCACAGCATGAGCATAAGGCCTGGGAAAAGGGCACATGTGAAACAAACAAAGCGACAGGGGTGGTACCTGCCAACATGAATGACCCTGGCTCTGGCTCTTGGATGGATTTTTCCATTTAAAGAAAGAGGGTGAAGATAAATTAGATAATAATAAGAATGCCACTGCTGAACGCAACCGTGTGACCCTTTAATTTTTACTAAAATCAGCACATGAGGTGGGTATTTTTTACCCACCTCTATATAGAAAAGGAAGTCAAAGCCCAAAGCAGTGAAACAGCTTGTGTAAGATCATGTATCTTAAGCAAGATGAGAGTCTGTGTGAGATTCAAACTCATGCCTTTGCCCTTAAACCAAAATATCTATCACGTTCCTTCTGACTCTCATTCTTTCGCAGTTTGATTTTATAATCTTTATGGCACAAATTGCTGCGAAATACAATCCAATATGTAGAGTTGTAATGAATTTACATAGATTGAAGGTCAACTGCAAAAATGTAATACAATAAAATATTTTAATTGATATTTATGAAACACACAGGTCAACTAAAATTCAATTATTACTTCTAAGGAATTAAGTTTCATCATTTTTGGCAATTTGTTATTTTTATGTCCATTTTTATAATGTATTTTGAGTCAGAATAAAATGGACCCCCTTTTTTTTTCAAAACAATATAATTTCAAGTACCCTGTCTCTTTGTTTCAAAATTGACATAAGATGAATAAAGTACTGGTTTAGTAAACTCTGATTTTATTTGTTTCAACTATATGAAACTTCATTGGTAAGAACAAAGTCTAGATTGTTTTGTTAAATGTTAAATCTCAAATATAAAATGTCCAATTATTCCTGAGTCATTTTCTTTTATCTTATCTTCTCGGTTATCACCGTAGGGCAAATCATGATATGTGAGGATTTAGAATAAGCATTAGTTAAATACCTTATGAACCATGAATGATTTCTTATAGGTTAGGTGATATGCTTCCATCTTTAAG
Organism: Homo sapiens; assembly: GCF_000001405.40. NCBI lineage: Eukaryota > Metazoa > Chordata > Mammalia > Primates > Hominidae > Homo > Homo sapiens. The sequence continues at coordinate 8,660,927 of NC_000006.12, forward strand.
TTCACATGAATCAAGTTAATCACAAAGTCATAAATTAAGTCAATCATAAAATTAAGATTCTGTTTTGTTGCTTAGGCAATCACGAAGAACAGAGAATAAAAGGAAAAGGAGGGACCCATTGAAGAAGGCTAATCTAACAACATGCCATTCACGAATCCCTTTGTCCTCTTGACACTGGCAGTTGGGGCTTCCTGATATGATTATTTGATGTTAAAATTGGTGGGGAAACCCCGCATTTTACTGCCAATAACTTGTTTTATTTGGAAAGTATTTTTTTCTTTTAACGGTATGGCAGTGCTATCAAATAAAGGTATACCTGTCCTTTTCTATTCTTCAATTAATTCTTAGAAGAATATTGAATTTATGACCATTGCCCAATGGTGTATCATGATGCTTTAAGCAAAAATGTCTTTATCCTTTTACAAATTGGATAATAACTAAGGCAATGAAATCTAATGAATGAATACGCTCTTTATGTTTTCTCTGAAGGTGTGTGAGGAGCATTGGCTTTTAAGAAATGTACATCCTTGGGGTGCTCTGCTGAGACAGGCAGTGGAATGAGCAGGGTCAGGGAGCCAGGGGTTTGGGGCCCCCAACCAGGGTATGACTTTGGAAGGGGCCCTCATCATACTCATCGTCTCTCTAACTATGTTTTTCCATATACAAAATGAGAAAGAAAGCAGTAATTGAAAAACTCCTTTCCAGTCTTAAAGATCTGGGATTTTCAGCAGATGGAATAAGGAAAGTGATTTTTAGCTGTTAATTCTTTTCTGTTTTTAAAGAAAACAGCAAAATTGGGGTACAGAGATATGATAATAAATTGTATTTATTCTTTATGATAGAAACAGAGTGATGGCTTTTAAAAATTACTAATTGCTCAGAATTGAAAATCACATTTCCTCCATTGTCCAGGAATATCTGGTGGATAAATTTGCCTTTTGATGGAAGGGCAAACCTGCTATGTGGCGTTTAAAAGTGTAGGCTACACAGATAAGGTTGCTTATTTTGGAAACCCAGCTTTACTCCTCTCTGATAGGTCATCTTTGACTACATTCTCTAAGGTTATCACCAGGAACTGAAGGACTTGTGCTTTGAACACAGGAGATTTCTTTGCCCTGGAGGGCATTGGGAGACTGAACGTAGATATAGCCAAATTAAAGAAGAGTAAGAATTGAGTTCATCCTAGAGTCTAATGTAGATCTGCTCTTGTACTCAATTAAATTCCTACCTTTAATTTAGGGCATTTGGTAAATTGTTCTGTCTCAAACTAATAGATAGTCTTTATATCTTTGATCAAGATTTGGGAAACATCAGTCTACAATATCAATAATGTGAACATGATATATAATCTAAATACAAATACACGGCCTCAAAAGTAGCTATCAACCTGTTTACAGTCTTCTTAAGGTTTGTGTTTCCTTCTCAGCTCTGTGTTTTTCTGTATGAACGCCGCAAAACTAAGTTCACAGCTGCAATGCAATTAGCAAGCTCTCTGAAAAACCACCTCCGTTTGTGGCTGCTAATGTATTTGCTATAGATTTTAGTGACAGAAATAGTGATATTAATGCTGTCAACATCTATGTCACTGCTTGCAGGCATTATGTAAACCAAAAGGTTACATTTTAAATTATGAAAGCCTGGGTTAAAAAAAAAGTTCCTCATTTTTCTGACTTGTCACATTAGAGTTTAAGATTATGTTATAGGTGCTCAGAATTAATCACAGAATGTTAGTTTAGGTAGAAATAAAATATCTGGAAAGTCTGTATAGCTTATTTAAGTATTTTAAATGTTATACTATATTCTCAATAATAAGATAAAATTCCATTTTATGAATAGCCTCAACATTTAGTTAGATAATTTGTTTTTTACCCTCAGACTTACCTTTTTCTCTGCACATTCTCTGCTTTGAAATTATGAATAATACAATAATAACATTTCAGATTTTAGAAAAATCTATGATTTTTAAGTTACTCAAAGCAACATACACACACACATATATATATATATGCAGAAAGTGTATAAATTTTATATTTACCAGATACTTGTTTGGTATTCTTCAGAATCACACAACTATAAAATGGTGGCACTAAGGGTAAGATGAAGGGTTGGTTTCAAAAATCAATACTCCTTATCTTTGATTCATATCTATACTCATAACAACATGGCCAATAACCGAGGCAATGAAATCTAATGAATACAAGTATGAATATTCAGAACTATAATTTATAATTTGTATCTATGCTTTCTATGGTTTTGAACACCAATTTTCTTCTTACCAGAAAATACAGTTTGTTTTGGCTCTCTCTAGGATAAAGTTGAAAAATCTTGCAGAGGTTTTTTTTTTTTTTTTTTTTTTTGGTGGTATGTGTGTGTGTGGTGGGGGTGATAATAATAATTTTCTGTGGATACTTGAGGCTGAATGAAGGCATCTCTCTGTGGTCCTGTTGCTTGTCTTCATTATAGTGACATCATGTTTTGGAAACAGAGGTATAAGTGGCTTTTTGCTTCTTCCTTTTTTATCCTTCTGGAAGCTGTAGAAAAAAGTACTAAAATGAATAACTAGCACTTGGTCCATGAAACTTAAGAGTGCTTTAAAAAAAGATAAAAAATTAGACTTAAACATTTTACTAAATGGGAGAACTTAAAAACCTGAATCAGAAACCCTGATATACATGGTTACATTACTGCTTGGGAGATTTCATTTTCATGTGCTACTTAATTTCAGTTACCCACTCCTATATTAAATATAGAGAGTATATCCTCTACATCTGTAGGAACTTCTTTTTATGGATATGAATTTTGAAAAATCTGTCCATCACTTAATAATTAACATGGCTAACTAAGATGTTTATTGATTCATTCATTTTAAATGCTATTCATTGATCAAATACTTGCTAAATACCAGTTGCAAACTAGGCATCCTGCTAGATGCTAAGGATAGAGAATATTAGAAAGGAAACTAATCAGAGAAAGCCAAATTGACCCATTTTGTTACTTATAATTTCAGAACTCTCTAAAACTCCGGTTATATTGAGTGAAGTGGTGGAAGTTTTCTTAAGCTTTGCACTGAAACCATTGCAGGACTTGTTTTAAGATTATTTAATGCCATAAGTCAGTGCTGTCTCTAGTAAGAAAGCTCATTCACAAAACATTATAGAATTTGCAAGGATCTATTTTGTAAGGAAGTGAGATCTGGTTATATTTTTCCTAAAAATCAGTACTGTTTGATTCTGTTTTTAAAAGTCCGATCAAAGACAAATTGGAAGCTATACAGGAGAAAGCAGGAGTGCTTCTGTTGTTTTAGGCAGTTACTTTTAACTCATGTTTCAGGTCAAACTTTAGTGAATGATGAACAAAAAGATAACTTCAGCCTTATGTTTGGATTGTCACACTGGATGCTATTTATTCTTTGTGGGCTTCTGATTGCAAATGAGGTGAGCATGGACTTTGGTGAATCAGTTTTGTTGACGCTATTGTTTTATCAAATAACTAATTTATTAAAAGAATGCATGAAGCTTCAGACTGTAATCAGTCCGTATTGGGAGAAAAAAAATCATTTGTGGAACAGTTCAAATGCCAATGACTATAGTATTTTCCAGCTCTGAAAAAAAAAAAGAAGTAACTAGAAATGAATTATGTTAAGTTACTAACTGAATTTCTTCTGAAATCCCCAGAAACTGAACAAGAGATCAGAGATGTTTTGTGGGTTTCTTTTTGAAGTCAATCAAACAATAATGGTGATTGACACATTTGGTACCTAAATGGTTTAACTTTTGGCTGTTGCGTCGATTTCATTAAATTCAATGAGATTTCTGTTATGCAGAACTTGCCAAAGAAAATTTGCATACCAGAAAGCAAGTAGTCATGGAATTTATCCATTAGCCTTTTTTTTCTCCTCCACCAAAGGTCAACAAATGCAAAGGTTTGATTCTGGATGGAGTTCATTTGGATGTGTCACCAGGAAGGGTATCTTAGCATTGCAGGCTGCCGAAATTTGGAAGAATCCACCCTCATTGATTGTCTTTGTTCTTTGCTGGTTTACACAGCAAATATAGTGGAATATCTGATCTGCAAGGCCAGACATATAAATAATTTCACCTTTTCAGTGGCAGTTGAAGGCCTAATCCATAGCAAAGTTACTAAAGAAAAAGTTTTATAGGTATTTAGTTTTTTCCCATGTTTTCTTGATCATTTTACTCCTAATTAAATCTCTCACCTCATTGCTGATATTAAGAATGGTGGTAGGAATAATTTTAGCCTTTGGGTTTTGTTGATTGATTTAAAAATGACAAGGTTTTTGTTAGTTATTCTGACTAGCCCTTAAATTATTATTTTAGAAAGTGCTTTCTCGTTGTCTGATGATTTGAGAAGTGGCCTGAAAAAAAACAAAGGTATTCCTCATGCTGTGGTTAAATGGAAGCTGAGATCTGCCAATCAATCCTTATCTACCAAATTTAATTTAGAACATTGTGTTCTTCCATATCTAAAATAGCATAAATTTAGCAATACCATACTTTTTCACAGTGATGTTATGTTTAGTTTATGAAAATTATATTTTTTTGAAAAATTAGCATTATATTTCAATTCTACTTTTACTGTCATTATGAGAGGTGACAGCGTGCTGGCAGTCCTCAGAGCCCTCGCTTGCTCTCAGCACCTCCCCTGCCTGGGCTCCCACTTTGGTGGCATTTGAGGAGCCCTTCAGTCCCCCACTGCACTGTGGGAGCCCCTTTCTGGGCTGGCCAAGGCTGGAGCCCACTCCCTTAGCCTGCAGGGAGGTGTGGAGGGAGAGGCGCGAGTGGGAACCGGGGCTGCAGGTGGAGCTGCCTGCCAGTCCCGCGCCGTGCACTCGCATTCCTCAGCCCTTGGGTGGTCGATGGGACTGGGTGCCGTGGAGCAGGGGGTGGTGCTCGTCGAGGAGGCTCGGGCGGCACAGGAGCCCACGGAGGAGGGGGAGGCTCAGGCATGGCGGGCTGCAGGTCCCAAGCCCTGCCCCACGGGAAGGCAGCTAAGGCCCGGCGAGAAATCGGGCACAGCGCCGGTGGGCCGGCACTGCTGGGGGACTCAGTACACCTGGCGCTTGCGGGCCAGCTGGAGTTCCGGGTGGGCATGGGCTTGGTGGGCCCCTGCACTCGGAGCAGCCAGCCAGCCCTGCTGGCCCCGGGCAATGGGGGACTTAGCACCTGGGCCAGTGGCTGTGGAGGGTGTACTGAGTCCCCCAGCAGTGCCGGCCCACCGGCGCTGTGCCCGATTTCTCGCCGGGCCTTAGCTGCCTTCCCGTGGGGCAGGGCTTGGGACCTGCAGCCCGCCATGCCTGAGCCTCCCCCTCCTCCGTGGGCTCCTGTGCCGCCCGAGCCTCCTCGACGAGCACCACCCCCTGCTCCACGGCACCCAGTCCCATCGACCACCCAAGGGCTGAGGAATGCGAGTGCACGGCGCGGGACTGGCAGGCAGCTCCACCTGCAGCCCCGGTGTGGGATCCACTGGGTGAAGCCAGCTGGGCTCCTGAGTCTGGTGGGAATGTGGAGAGTCTCTATATCTAGCTCAGGGATTGTAAATACACCAATCAGCACCCTGTGTTTAGCTCAAGGTTTGTGAGTGCACCAATTGACACTCTGTATCTAGCTGCTCTGGTGGGGCCTTGGAGAACCTGTGTGTCTAGCTCAGGGATTGTAAATACACCAATCGGCACTCTGTATCTAGCTCAACGTTTGTAAACACACCAATCAGCACCCTGTGTTTAGCTCAAGGTTTGTGAGTGCACCAATCGACACTCTGTATCTAGCTGCTCTGGTGAGGATGTGGAGAGTCTTTATATCTAGCTCAGGGATTGTAAACACACCAATCAGCACCCTGTGTTTAGCTCAAGGTTTGTGAGTGCACCAATCGACACTGTATCTAGCTGCTCTGGTGAGGACATGGAGAACCTTTATGTCTAGCTCAAGGATTGTAAATACACCAATCGGCACTCTGTATCTAGCTCAAGGTTTGTAAACACACCAATCAGCACCCTGTGTTTAGCTCAAGGTTTGTGAGTGCACCAATCGACACTCTGTATCTAGCTGCTCTGGTGGGGCCTTGGAGAACCTGTGTGTGGAAACTCTGTATCTAACTAATCTGATGGGGACGTGGAGAACCTTTGTGTCTAGCTCAGGGATTGTAAACGCACCAATCAGCGCCCTGACAAAACAGGCCACTCGGCTCTACCAATCAGCAGGATGTGGGTGGGGCCAGATAAGAGAATAAAAGCAGGCTGCCGGAACCAGCATTGGCAACCCACTCGAGTCCCCTTCCACCTCGTGGAAGCTTTGTTCTTTCGCTCTTTGCAATAAATCTTGCTACTGTTCACTCTTTGGGACCACGTTGCTTTTATGAGCTGTCACACTCACCGTGAAAATCTGCAGCTTCATTTCTGAGCCCAGCCAGACCACGAGCCCACCGGGAGGAACGAACAATTCCACAAGCGCTGCGTTAAGAGCTGTAACACTCAACCGTGAAGGTCTGCAGCTTCACTCCTGAGCCAGCGAGACCACGAACCCACCAGAAGGAAGAAACTCCGAACACATCTGAACAAAAAGGGACAGACTCCAGATGCGCCACCTTAAGAGCTGTAACACTCACTGCGAGGGTCGGCGGCTTCATTCTTGAAGTCAGTGAGACCAAGAACCCCCCAAATTCCAGACACAATTAGATTTGTCATTAAATCTTTGGTTTGGGGAGGGTGAAGAGGGAAAGGTATTGATAATTAAAGCCCATTTCAGACAGGGAGGAAGAGAAAGCCAAGACCAGTCCAACCCAATTGGTAGGTTTACAAAATAGGCTGGAGAGAGTTAACCTCAAAAGGGTGCTGAGCCCACTGGTATCTTGTGGGCTGAGGTTCAATTCATGGTCCCTCCTTGAATGGGGAGATGGAAGTATGGGGCAGAGAACTAGGCAGGGTTTTTAATGAAATTAAAGGCAGAATTTCATGCCTGCAAATACAGTTAAAAGATAGAATGAAAAAAAAAAGCAAGGGGTTTAACTTAACTCAGTATTTGGTATTAGGACCTCAGGTCCTAGCTTATGCTTTTTGCCCTTGGCATACATACCCAGAAACTGGAGAATAAAAAAAGACGAAGGAAATTAGTCAGGATGTGAAACGCCATTAAGTATAACAGAGCAGCTGGGTTTGCAAAATTCAACTTTGGAAGATGGTTAGGAATTATTTTTCTATTTGGTTCTGTAACTGAAACAAGAGTCTGGGTGTTGACTTTTGAGAGTCAGAATATTCTCGGTGATATTGGTGCACTACAGATTTCAGAGGGATTCTGTGGTACAGTGCACTGTTCTCAACCCCCAAGTCTTCAATTTGTCTCCCGATAATAAATAATGTAAATAATGCTAAAATTAAATGAAAGGCCATTTCACAAGAAAACAAACAAACCCCTAAACATTAAAATGACAGAAGAGTCCCCAAACAGAGTGGAAAGCCCTGGAGTGGTGGCCTCACCATGGTAAAACTAAATCATCAATACAAGCAGGTTCTAATAAACCATTCAGCGTGATAAAGGGGCGCTATTATGTTACAAAGCCCAGAAGGCTCTGCTTACTGCTGCTACCATGAAGTGAATAGGTTAAAAGATTTTAAATGGGATTGCCATGGCTTTCTACAGCAAAAATGCAGGGCTACAGGCAGATAACATGGCTTTATTAATGCAGATGCTGGGACACTAATACAAATTAGAAGTGTCTATGATGTTAGACAATTTGGTTTGTCTCATTCAAAAAATTAGTGGTCTTGGCCAGAAAGAAAACACACTTACAGAAAGGATTTTAGTAAGAGTCTATTTGGAAAATTAGTCAAGTTTTCCTATTTAATAGAAGCTTCTAGAAGAAAAGTAATTGCCCAATTAATGTTTGTTTAATAATATTTTTCAGTGCTGATGATGTACTAGGTACTGTTCTGGGTACTCTTATGCTTGAAAAGGTCACTGTGTTTGTTTACAATATAGTCTCCTATCCATGAGGCCCAGCACTGGGCATACATTTATTCTATCTTTTATGTGGTTTGTATATAACCATAGAAACCTTAAGAATAAAAAAAAACTCTTTTAAAAAGTTATGCACCCATTATTTTGACATTCTTCTCATTTTTGTCCATGTGATTCTAACCACTTCCTGACCTTTAGTGCTACAAAGTCAAACAAAAAAGAAATGAAGGTGAAGAGACAGTAACATTTCTAAATGCGGGTCAATATTATTGTGCAGCATTATGTGAGAGTCTGGCATCCCTTTGCTGATCACTAAAATTGGTTATGTTATAAATATTACCTGATGACTTGACATACAATTTTGTTCAGTATTGGAAAATGAAAAAAAAAGGATGTGAAATAGACTGTATTATGTTGATATAATCTCCTGGCAATAGAACCCTGGCACTGTACTACTGTCATGCTTTTAATTATGTAACTAAGTAATCACACGTTAAAGTCTCATGGAAAATGATCCCTTATTCCCATGATACCCTATTTTATTGTTTTCTAAATGGGTTTCAGAATAACGATGCGAACTTGTATAGAAAAAGATTATTTATGGTATTATACTCTTTGTGCTTCTCATGTAATATAAAGATATGCTGTGTTTTTTTAGTTTTAATTTGTGCATGTTTTTTAAAAGTTGAAAGGTACTTACTCATAATGACAAAATGTTTTGGTGTGACTCAATATTGTTAAACTTTACTTATGGCAAAAATTGATGCAACATATATTAATAATTCTCCAGGAAACTGTTCTTTCATTGATTTATGGGGGGGTGTCCTAATAGATCAAGTTTTGCAATGGGTTGAATGTGTTGAAAACCCTGCCCTGGGTTGATTAGTCTGCAATGAACTCTTTAACTTGTTTTCCCAACTAATTGTGTTTATGTGTGACCATGTATGCATGTGTGCCCATGTATGCTTGTGCGCAGTTGTGTGTGTGTGTGTCTGTATGTATGTGTTTGTGGGGAAGGTTCACCAGATTATCTTTGATTCTTAATCTTTCAGAACTGGCACAATGTTAAAGTGGTTACTGCATGGTATGAAGTGACCTAGGGGGTCTCTTCAAAAGCAGATAAGGATAAAAACTTAGGGAGAAAATATTTTTATTACTTTAATCAAAAGCCATAAACATAGTGGGTGTGACTGATCATTGAACAACAAGGTGCATTTGCACTTGGATATGCATTTGGATGGCTTTTGTCCTGACCTCTGTTCACACAACCATAACTAGTTTAATATGGTAGCTTAGAGTTAGCTGGCTTTGTGCAATCACAATGGTCAATGAAATAATTCTGTATGTGTCTACCTGTATAAATGGACTTTCAAAACAAAATTTTATGTTTTTGAGGTTTAAAATAGCATGTAGCTAACAGATGCTGGTGTAAACCTTTGCAAGTTCCTATAAAAGTATGGAAAGATCAAAATTGCCATACCAAAATATAAACAAAATAAAAACAAGCAAATATACAAGCAAATAAAAATAAACAACACTAGCATTAATCCAATTTCAGAATCTGGAAGAATGTTCTAATAACCATAAGGATGATGGAACTAAACTGAAGAGGGAACCATGCTCTAACTGTAATAAAAATAATTGGGGAGATCTGCTTTCTTGCAGTGTCTACTTCTTCGTTGGTGAGACAATTGTCCTGCAGAACCATCACTCCTTGAGGCACAGTATTGGCCACCTGTCTTGTGTCTCCTCTAGTCAGGAATGCTGAGCCTCACAAAACAACCAGGTGCAAGGTGGCCTTGGGGCTGGAGAATTGGTAGCAGCATATTATACTATGGGTGATACTGTTTCTACAAGGAAATCTAGGATGAATTGTGTGGGTGACATTTTGTACTGACAATTATGGCTTTCCATGCCTTTCATCCACCCATAGTACAAAAGGTCTGACAACGCATGTGAAGTTTAGAAAGACCCAGAAAAAGTCTACTGGAAAGTGGTAATTGGACCCTCTTGATTCAATAGGGGCATACAAACCAGCCCCTGAGTGTGTGGAGAATAGGTTGATGGGTAGGGCCCATTTGCTGTTCACTGGTAAATAGTGAATGAGTCAGCACAGATACCTCCTGATTTCTGGATGAACCAACAGAAAAATCAACAACAACTAAACTTGAATAGGGTCCATAAAAGGCTCTTCTACATCAAGGCACATGAAACATTATTCTGAAAACTCAGAGTCAGTGTATCATGAAAATGATTTGTATGAGGAATTAGAAGAAAGCAAAACTTTTTAGGCATTAATAGTAAGATGCCATGAAGATGCAGCTTCTCTGGAATAGTCACAGAATATTAAAAGAGGAAAGGCGAAATGAAAGGAAAACAATGCCAGTAGGAGAAGGATAAGACAGAGATGAATTTCTGTGCCGTGATACATTGAGTAGGATAATTAAAATTTATATTGGAGACATGAAGAGCAGAGCTGACACTTGGAAAATCACATCAGTGAGTCCAGGGCAAATTTGGGAAGAAGAACTTCCATACAACAGGTGAACAAACAAATTCAATTGAAATACTGGATTTCAAAAGAAGATGACACATCTGAAGAATAGAGAATGGAGATTCTAACCTAATGATAACTATTCCTAATGGGAAAAGCAAACAAACATTCAGAATCATTGATGACAATTTCACTAGCAGAAAAAATGGTGTAAACATGCAGATCAAAAGACTCTGTATGTTTCAGTTAACATTAATAAGGAAGGTCACAGGTAAAAATAGAGGTTGCTAAAACTTCTTTCCAGCTTTATTGAGGTATAATTGACAAGAAAAAATTGTTTTTATTTAAGGTGTACAATGTCATAATTTAATGTACACAAATAAAATAAAAATAAACCTTTAAAGCATCCAGGCACAACAGCAACAAAAAATATATTATTAAAAGAGGAAAAATCAAACTGATTTCATACATCTCTGAAAAGCTAAGTGTCTTAGTCCGTTTTAACACTGCTATAAAGAACTACCCGAGACTGGGTAATTTATAAAAGAAAGATGTTTAATTGACTCACAGTTCAGCATGGCTGGGGAGGCCTCAGGAAACTCACAATCATAGTGGAAGGCAAAGGGGAAGCAAGGCACCTTCTTCACAAGGCAACAGGAAGGAGAATGAACACAACAGTAACTATCAAACTCTTATAAAACCATCAGGTCTCTTGAAAACTCACTCACTATCATGAGAACCACTTGGGGGAAACTGCCACATGATTCAGTTATCTCCACCTGGTCTTTCCCTTCACCATGAAGATTATGGGGATTACAATTCAAGAAGATGTTTTGGGTGGGGGACACAGCCAAACTATATTACTGAAATAATGAAAATAATTTGAAATAATTTTCAAACAATTCAAATTTCAAATAACTGAAAATGATGGCAAACTTCTCTAGATCCCTGACAAGAAAATATTCTGTCTCAACAATTATACACCTGACTGTGTTATCTTTCTTTTATAAAAGCAAAAGACATTCTTTATTGTACAAGGGTTTAAAATATATTATCTCACGTAGATTAAACATTACTTCCATTGATTATGGGATTAATCTACATTAAAATCTTAAAACAAGATCCTAGACTCCATCCCAAGGAAATAATAGAACACGTGGACAATGCTATCTATCATAGGTACTTCATTGTTATAAAAATCACAGATCAAAAGTGTTACAAAAATCACTTCATTGGGCTGGGCACAGTGGCTCATGCCTGTAATCCCAGCACTTTGGGAGGCCGAGGCAGGTGGATCACTAGGACAGGAGTTCAAGACCTGCCTGGCCAATATAGTGAAACCCTGTCTCTACTAAAAATACAAGAAAATTAGCCGGGCATGGTGGCACGTGCCTGTAGTCCCAGATACTCAGGAGGCTGAGGCAGGAGAATCGCTTGAACCTGGGAGGTGGAGGTTGCAGTGAGCTGACATTGCACCACTGCACTCCAGCTTGGGCAACAGTGAGTTTTCGTCTCAAAAAAAAAAAAAAAAAAAAAAAAAAAACTTCAGTGTTATAAAAATCACAAATGTTCAACATTAGGAAGCAGTTTCATATTTTGGGCAATGCAGACATAAAACTTACCATCACAGAAAGGTTTTCCATGGCATAGTAAAATGCTTGTCAGCAGTCAACTATGAGCTTCCTGAGAGCCGTACCATGTGTGTTTTGCTTACTGTTGTCTCCTCAGCACTTGGCATGATTTCTGGCACATGAAATATTTGCTGACCATAATAGTGAAAAATGATTAAATGTGGCAGGAGGTAAAATTGTATGTAGAGTATCATCTTACATATATTTACCCCTGGAAAAAAAATGCTGGGCGAGTTAACTTCCCCTAGCTCCTTGTTAGGATGAACCCATCAGCAGCTGAGAAATACTGACCCATGGCTAGTGGGGAGCACTGAAGGAATCTGGACTTAGGTTTTGCTTGTAACAGCAACAGTTGGGACAGACTTCCATGGAATGCTGTGCGTGTCTGGCATCACACTTAGTATGCATTTGCAATTATATGTAGGTCAATCTAGAATGTAAAGCTCTTCAAAGGCTTCCAACACAAAGCAAGTAATCATATGTTTGTGGAATGCAGCAGAGCTAAGCAGTTCTGTGTTTAATCAGCTCTAATAGGGTGAATAATAACTTACTGGGCATCACTTTTGTGATAGAAATGCATCTTATGTCTGGATTAATATTAGATGGAATGTTTGTGTCCTTGGCCCCAGATTCATATGTTGAAGCCCTAATTCCTAATGTAATTGTATTTGGAGATGGGGCCTGTGAGGAGGTGATAAAGTTTAAATGAGGTCACAGGGATGGGCGCCTTATTTAATAGGGCTGGTACCCTTATAAGAAGATAAACAGAATATTTCAAAACAACATGGACACAGTAAATACATACAATTCTTATTTGACAAACAAAATAAATAATTATATTTAAAACAAGAGGAAGATACAACAGGGCTCTTTCTTCCTCCATGTTACCATACTGAGGAAAGGCCATGTGAGATCACAAGAAGGTGGTTGTCTGCAAGCCAGGAAGAGAGCCCTCATCAGAAACTAAGTTGATTGTCTCCTTGATCTCGGACTTCTATTCTCCAGAACCGTGAGAAAATAAATTTATGGCAGCCCGACTAGACTAAGACAATTCATTAGTAATTTGTGCTAGTGTATATGTAATATTAATTTTATTCATGGTGAATATTTCCCAAATCCCAAGCCAAATATCTTGAATGAAATCCCAAGCTGGCCCCTGCATTTTGGTTATGATCTAGCTTACTGTTTTTCATACCAAAAAGAATGGCTTAGTGAGAAATTCTTGAAAGGGGAAGTGGATACAGAACGGAGGAAATGAAAGCAGAGTGGAAGTAGGTAGTGTCAAGCTTAAGGTCCATTTCTTTCTAACTTTGGGATGCTGAGTCTCATATCTCAAGTCACAATTTCCTCAATGACACCTGTGTTTTCTACTTCATGCGTGTCCTGGGATGATCAAATAACATCATGTGTGTAAAACAGCTTTGTTGACCACAATTGCTATGTAAACGTAAGGGATTTATACAAAGTGCCACTTTTAGACCTGGGAAGGGAAGCCTCCAATGAAATGAACATGCTTCATAGGACCTGCGCTAGCTTATTCTAGCCATGCCCCTCCTCACAGCATGAGGAATCCCTGGGGTCAAGGGAAAGTGCCCACCAGGGCCCAAGCTCCAGTTTCTGCACCATGATCTGGGTACCTGGGGCGCAGAGTTCCCTGCTCGAAGAGCCTGAGTCTCCTCCCTAGCTCTGCCTTGATCGCTTCCCTAGACCCACCTTCTCAGCTGTGCCCATGACTTACTCATTTATAAATCTGAGGAGTGCAAGTGCCGGGGTTTGGGGAACACGGACAGATCTTGGACTTGCAGGCTGAGATGCCCACAGTGCATGCATGCTTGCATGAGGATGTGTGGCCCTTCATGCTGCATGAAGGAACCAGGATAGGGAAGTAAAAAGGGCAAGGCTGGCAGGGCGCGGTGGCTCACGCCTGTAATCCCAGCACTTTCGGAGGCCGAGGCGGGCAGATCACAAGGTCAGGAAATCGAGACCATCCTGCCTAACACGCTGAAACTCCGTCTCTATGAAAAATACAAAAAATTAGCCAGGCATGGTGGCTGGCGCCTGTAGTCCCAGCTACTCGGGAGGCTGAGGCAGGAGAATGGTGTGAACCCAGGAGGCGGAGCTTGCAGTGAGCCGAGATCGCGCCACTGCACTCCAGCCTAGGCGACAGAGCGAGACTCCGTCTCAAAAAAAAAAAAAAAAAAAAAAAAAAAAAAAAAAAAAAAGGGCAAGGCTGGGGCTGTGGTATGTGGTCTGTGACATGGGATACGTGGGCCTCTTTGCCCTCTCTGCCAAGCCTTGAGAATGTTAGAGTGAGCCTGTATATGAATCTTGGCTTCAGCCTCACTATGACTTGGGACTAATTAATTTGTATATCTGGACCTCAACTTCCTCAAATGAAAAAAAATCGATGATTTGAATCTCTGTCCACAGATTTGGGTACATGAAACTTGTACTGTGTATAAAGTCCTGCCTCAATTCTACTTCTGTTGAAATTCTGGCTTTGATGGTCATCTCTATACTCCTTTATAAAATTCATCCACATACCAATTTTATTGGCTGTCCAATATCCACCTCAATACTTACACTGAAATTCACCATTTCTTGTTCTTAGAGGTCTTCAATGGACTTTATTAATGAAAAGCTTACCTAATACGAACTTTCTCATTTTCTTTTTTTAATCTGCATAATTAGTATTGAGAATTTTTTGTTGTGCATCATATCATTTTATCAGTTGTAATTACATCTGATTCTTTTGTTGCTTAAATAATAAAACAATATTTTTCTTTTACTTTCTGCATGATTTATATTCCAGCTTTGGTTACCTATTTTAATAAGATTTATGCCCACATTTTAATGTAATTTATGGTATAGCTTGTCTGTGGCACAGATCATTGTAACCCACTCAAAATTTGAGACTTCAAAGGGAGACTTGAGATTGAATTTTTTAACTTAATTTGGCTCTTATAATTAGGGATATTTTATGAATAAAATTATCACATAATCAAAAAATGTTTTCCGTGGGTAACTTTGTTTTAACTTAAATTGACATAAGGGAGTCTATGGGCTGGCCTAAGATTCATAGCGTTTTTTCTCTAGGAGAATCCCAAGTGGTCAGTTCATAAACAAGTAATTATTGAACACACCCAAGAGGACCTAGATCTTATTCCCACATCTGCCATTAAGCAAATTGCTTAATACCCTTGTCTTCATTTGTACAAGGTTGCATTGAGGATAAAGTTAGAGACAATAGATGAGGCGATACCTCAGAAAGCTAGAATATGCTGCCATTTTAGTTTGTCATTATTAATAATAAAATTATATATCATGTTCATAATGAATAATTTATACAATCTAAAACTAAATTATATTTTCATGTGAAATTTTTTACAAAACTAAAGGTTCTAGTGTAATGGAGACTTTATAACTTCATGACCAGTTTAATGTAGTCAGCTTATTTCAGGCAGAGTTTGGCTTAAAGATAACCACTTTGTCCCCTGTTCATTTGACAGATGAAGACTGAAATGTTGGTATTTCGTGGCTGATGGCTGAGAAATTTGCAAATAATGAACTATTCACTTTAGACCTTAATAATTTAAAAAATTATTTTTAAAATTATGATTAACAAGACATGACATAAAATTTACTAATTTAACCATTTTTTGTTGGACAGTTCAGTGACATTCAGGACATTTGCATTGTTGTGTCACGATCTCCACCAACCGTGCCCAGACCTTTTTCATCATTCCAAACAGAAACTTTGAACCCATTAAACACTAACTCCCATTGCCCCTTTTCCCCAGCTGCTGGTAACCACTGCTCTAGGTTTCTGTTTTTTAATTTTTTTAACATGGAGTCTTGCTCTGTTGCTCAGGCTGGAGTGCAGTGGCGTGACCTCGGCTCACTGCAACCTCCGCCTCCTGGGTTCAAGTGATTCTCCTGTCTCAGCCTCCCTAGTAGCTGAAATTACAGGCACATGCCACCATGCCCAGCTAGTTGTGTGTGTGTGTGTGTGTGTGTGTTTTGTGTGTGTGTTTTTGGTAGAGATGGGGCTTCGCCATGTTGGCCATGCTGTTCTTGAACTCCTCCTGACCTCAGGTGATCTGCCCACCTTGGCCTTCCAAAGTGCTGGGATTACAGGTGTGAGCCACCGTGCCCAGCCGATGTCTCTATTGATTTGAGTGCTTTAGGTCCCTCATATAAGTGGAATCTTACAGAATTTGTTATTTTGATAGTAATGGGTGTGAGATGGTGCCGCGTTATGGTTTTGACTTGCATTTCCCTGAGGATTAGTGACGTTGAGCATCTTTCCCCGTGCTTTTTTGGCAAATTATATATCTTCTTTGGAGAAAAGGCTATTCAGTTTCTTTGACCATATTTTCACAAATATGATTTCCTTTTGTCTTCTTTCAGAGAAATTTTCTTTGACAAATATTTTATAAGAAACATTTTATCAAATGACGTCTCTTTATTTATTTATTATTTTGAATCCTTCACCAACATTAGATGTTACAAAATAAAGCCTTTCTTAATTCCATTTTATTCTCAAAGAGTATATAAATTTATCCTAGTAAATGTTTTTTCCATCAAAGTATCTTTTTGTTGGTTGAGATATTCTGAAATGCAATTTTAGAATTTCAAGATTTAGTCCGGTACATTTCACCTCTCATTTTTAAATTTATTCAATTTATCTCTTATTTTTGTGAAGATACATTTTAATGACATTCTGTTTTCAATAATTACAATTTTACTTCAAAATCTTACATAATCTGTTGGGTAGATACATAGGAAAATATGACCTGCTTTTTGTCTCTAAGAAGTAACTATCTAGGGTGGGAGGTGAATGGGTCAATGAAGAAGAAGGTGAATAAGCAAATAATTATGGTTAAATGTAGTAATAAGGATGCAGGAATATCAAAATCGTGATGGTAAACAACCTGATAAGCCACCTCTTTGTGTTCTAGGTTGGCCCAATGGCATATGGTGATCCAGAAAATCCCTCCCTCCCTTTATGAGCAGTGGTATCCTTAGAGATAATGTTGAGTACTAAAACAAAAATTTGAGTCAGGTATATGAATGTTTTATGAGATAAGATTTAGGAAAATGGGTTTAAGACAATCAGGCAAGAATGGGGTCCAAAATTTGAATGACATCAAAGGTAAAATGAATAGTAAACTTCACTCTGGAAATCAGCCTGGGTTAGATTAAGGAGTTGGAGATTCATCAAACTAAACAATAGAATTTAAAGCCAATGTTCAAGTTAAGAAGTGGAGATCAATAGCTGGACATGGTGGCTCACGTCTGTAATCCCAGGCCGAGATCAGGAGTTTGAGACCAGCCTGACCAACATGGTGAAGCCCTGTCTCTACTAAAAATACAAAAAATTAGCCAGGTGTGGTGGTGGGCACCTGTAATCCCAGCTACTTACTCGGGAGGCTGAGGCAGGAGAATCGCTTGAACCCGGGAGGCGGAGGTTGTGGTGAGCAGAGACCGCGCCACTGCACTCCAGCCTGGAGGACAAGAGCAAAACTCTGTCTCAAAAAAAGAAAAAAAGAAGTGGAAATCAACTAGGAAAGGATACACCAGTTTCATTCACAAGGAGTCCCTCTTTGCTAGGGCAGGTCAGTCCTTGCACTGATCACAGATCACTGTTTTGACATCATTTCAGCCAGTAAGGATGGCACTGGTCCCTGGAAGCTGATCAATCTCTAAAGGAAACTCTGAGCCACCCATAACTGGTAACTGACATTCAATAGCTCCTGACATTCTCCTCTGAGGAATGTTGGATTTCTTGATACCACCTTTGTCTCTGAAAAATGTAGCCTACCACATATTTACAAAAGAAGGTAAATTTCCAGATGATGAATTTCAAGATGAATTTTTTCTTATAAATTGCCTTAGAGATTCTCAACAATTTTGTGCTCACGCCTGTAATTCCAGCACTTCGGGAGGCCAAGATGGGTGCATCACCTGAGATCAGGAGTTCCAGACCAGCCTGACCAACAAGGTGAAACCCCGTCTCTACTAAGAATACAAAAATTAGCTGGGAGCTGTGGCAGGTGCCTTTAGTCCCAGCTACTGGGGAGGCTGAGATACGAGAATTGCTTGAACCCGGGAGGCGGAGGTTGCAATGAGCCAAGATCGCACCACTGCACCCCAGTCTGGGCGACGGAGCAAGACTCCGTCTCAGAAAAAAGAAAAAGGAACTACCTGGGGTCGTCTCAAAACCAGAAAAATGTAGGCCATTCTAAAGGATTTTCCCAAAACCTTTTCTGAGAAAAATTTTAATTTACACCTTGTTATCTTGTCACTGATCATTTTTAACTTGTGGGGAAAAAAATGAAAGTGCTAGGTGGTATTCAGCAAATACTACACTTCATTATTAGTTTTGAGCTAGACACAGAAAATCGGTTTCCAGGTTAGATCAATTTTATGCAAATTGTGAAAACATCCACCAAATAGAACCTTGATTCTATGAGAAACACCAGTGACCAACTGCTTAACACTATTTTCACTGAATCTTTCAGGTTTTAGGGATGAAAAGGTAGCAGAGGTAATATATGTGGCTTACTGCATTTGAATCATTGCATTCAGGAAGAACTATCCTCCTCATTCTAGAACATACACTTTCCTTAGGAACAAACTTAGTAATTACAATCTGAAAAATGTATTTAATGCATGTGTATATATACAAATATATGCATCCACACGTGTACACACACACACACACGCACACACTTTTTTTCTTCTGGTAAACATACTTGAAAATTCCAGCAGCCAGCTCTGGTATTATGCCTATCAAATCATTCAGCTTTGCAATACTTGCAAAAAGCTATAGAAACATTCTTTCAAAGTGTGGGGAGATCGGAATTTATAGATATATTTACCCAAAGATTTGTCAATTATTCATAGGCCTCAGTAGGCATATTTACAAATTTGTATGAAAATCAACTTCTAAATCTATAAATCTTCACCCTATTTGCTTAGAATTTGCTGAGCGCAGCATTTATATTGATTAGCCAACTAAAAAGAGTGAAGAATATCAAACAGAACACTTTGGGGTACTTGTCATTCATAGACATAATTAGTGGCTTGAATAGCAATAGGTAGCATGATAAAAATAATTTCTGATAATTGTTTATGGAAGTTTTAATTTTTTTCCTAGGATATCTCTATGCCTGTTTTCTGAATGTACTTCAGGGGTGACCAATCAACTTTACTAGTAGTTCCTTAGTTCATTCAATAAATATTTATTGATTACCAGTTATGTGCTAGGCATTGTGATAGATTCTTTAATCAAAAGGATTAGATACCTCCTCTGTCTCACATGTCTTTTAGTTTAAGAGAGAATATTGACAGACAATTGCAAGACAGGGCTTTGATAGGGTAAGCTTTGAAAACATATAAAAGAGGAACCTAATTTGGATTTATGGGGGTCGGCAAAGACTGCCTGTGGAAGCTGCATCTAATTTGAGACCAGAAAAATGAATAACAGACAAGGAGACAGAGGAAGCAATAAATTTTTAAGCAAAGGTAACAGCTTACTCAAAATGTTGCAGAAATAAGAAAAAAGCCTAACACATAGAGAAACTGAAAAAGGTGCCATATAACTGGAAAATAAAATTC
This sequence comes from Homo sapiens, assembly GCF_000001405.40. NCBI lineage: Eukaryota > Metazoa > Chordata > Mammalia > Primates > Hominidae > Homo > Homo sapiens. Next base: position 8,680,645 of record NC_000006.12, read on the forward strand.
TTAGAAAGATATGATAGACAAGGCTGGAACTGAAATTATAGTATCTATTTGAAGTATTATATGCAATGATAAAACTCTGGATTTATTTAGGAGCAATGAGAAATCCCTGAAAGATATTAAGCAGAGGAGTAAAACATGGTACTTTTGTCCTAGAAAGATTACTCTTGTGATAGCACAGGGAATGTATGGGAGGGGGTAAAACTGGAGACAGAGAGAGTAATTAGAAGCCTGGTGCAGCAACCCAGAGGAAGGGCAATGCCACCTTGATAGGGAAGGGGCAGTGGAGAATGAAGAGACATGGGAAGACTTGAGAAAGATCAAAAGGTAAAGACTGAACTTGCTGTTTCACTGTAAATGAGTGAGTGAATGAAAAGAAAGACTCAATAATGATGATAGAATTTCCAGCTTGGATAAATGTGATTGAATATTTTTACTATTCCTGAAAATAGGAAATACGTGCAAAAGAGCAGGTGTAGGGAGAAGGATGATGAGCCCAGTTTTGCATCTGCTGAGTTTGAGGGGCTCATGTGATGCCCAGCAGAGATTTTCAATTAGCTGGTTAGTAAGCAGATTGGATGCTCAGAAGAAGGATCAGATCTGAAGTAAAATACCTGGGCTTCAGGAGACTGTATGTGATGAATACAGACTTGGAAACGATAAGATAGTTCGAAGAGAATATCTAGAGTAAGAATGGAATGTGGTGCAGGGAAGGATCTGAAGAACACCAACACCTAAGAGGCTAACAATGGAACAAGAGTCCTCAAGAGGGACCGAGACATTAGCAGGCTGGGGAAGAGGAGAAAAACCACAAGCAAAGCAACATAGAAACCAAGGTCTATAATAGCTTTCGTCTTAGAAAATATGGTGCCAAATAAGACAGCACAGAAAGTTGAATAGTATTGACTCAAATGCCAAAGGGAGCTCCTTTTACCTGCATGCATGAGGGATGGGTGAAAATCCTTGCTTTACGGATCAGAATGACCACCTACCCTATTCCTGAAAGCCACACCATTAAACATGCAATGAATAATAACTAATAGATCATGAATTCATTCATTTTTTAAGAAGCCGTGATTGCCCACCTCTGACTGGAGTACACATGTGGATTGGACACAATTTCCTCTTTCAAGAACTTACATTTTAGTGGGGAAAATAGTTTTGTGCAGCAAAGACCCACATAGCATAGACTGTGCTACTACAAACATGTCGAGGAGTGATATGGGATTACTTTCAAAAAAGCGATGCTGGTAAGACAAATGAGAAGGACTCATCTTAGCTTCCCATGGGCCGGTCGCACAAAGGAGTGATGTTGGAGAAGAGTCGCTGAGTCCATTGCTTCTCTCAGTGGTTTTGCACCTTTGGGGAACCATGTGTGCCTGCTTTGGCCCCACATTCAGCCCTAACCTTTTCTTGTAGCCCACCAGTAGGAGTTTGGTCCTCTTGCCCCAGTGTTAAATCTCACTGCTCAAAGAACTTTACCCCATGGAATTTATGTATTCATTCATTCATTCATTCATTCATTCATTCATTCATTCTTTAGTGGGTGCCTACAATGTACTAGGTTGTTCCCTGGTGTTACAGAAGTGAACAAAACAAGTCTCCAGTCATTTGGATCTTCCCTGTAGATGATACAGGCAACTGAAAAAGAATATTGTAGTATTTGTGGAGATGATAAGAAATATAAATTAAATAAAGCTGGACAAGCAATAGAGACTGATGTCGGGGGACAGGGGTTCTGTGCGCTGTTTGAAAGAGGGTGATCCTTATGTAGAGAGGATAAGGGTAGCTGAAAATTAATTCTTATTGAGTTCAGCCATCTCAGGATTGTGGAACCCATCTCCCTCCATCTTGACTGAGATTTCTCTGAGGTGAATGTATACACTGTCTTTCAGAGTCTCCCAGTGGAAATAAGCTCCAAATATCTATAGTGACATCTTGCTTGATAAAACACTGTAATTACCTCCTGCTAACCCTCATCCCATTTCTTCACTTCCCAAATGAAGCACTGACTCTAGAGTCCTAATCTCTGGGTTTCTGGGTAACCTAAGTTAAAATAGTAAGAGAGACATCTAATGAGATTTGTGAAATATTCAGTCTCATTTTCTAAATGTTTGAAATATCTCCTAGACTCTCAGTATAATTTTTGGTGAGAAGAGAAAACTTATCCCAGTGTAGAACAATGTCAGAGATGCTGCCATGTTCCTCGGTCTTTCTTTGTCCTAGTTCCCTTCATTCTTGTGTCCCACACAGCCTGGTTACACCCAAACGTAGGCACAGAGCTGGTTTCTACCTCACATTATTCCTGCCTTCTTCATCCAGCAGCATGGGTGTGGCAGGGCTGTAAAACAGAAAATCCTTTCCATGACATGTTCACCTACTAACTCTGAATTTTAAAAATTAGAAGAGTATTTCTATACCTTCTATTCACCCTGTTGGTGAAGGAGGAACCCCCAATTCCAATTACAAGACAACCAAATACATAACACCCAACTTGGGAACCATGAGATTGACAGCAGCTTATTAGCCATACATATTTGCAGTGCAGGGGAAGAGGACACTGTGCTCCATGCAGAGAGAGTCACATGAGTATGGGCTCAGGAGGAGAGTGAACCCCAAAGGGCATAGGAGTGTAGGCTTTGTAGTAACAAGAGGGTGAGGTGACCCCTGGTTCCTATGGAAGGATGTGATTGGCTTGTTTGAATAATTTCATGGGCTGGCAGGGAAGTGAAACCTGTTGTGTGGGGGACCATGTGGCGAGCAACTGGCCCAGCAGATAGGGGGACTAGCTAGGTGGGGAGACTTTCCTTTTGAGTGCAGAGGTTGCATATCTGATGAGAGCAGAGAAATTCATAGTGAGGCCTTTGAAGCCTTGCAAGGCTCACAGATGTCAAGGCAGTACAGGAACTTTCAGAATTTACAATACAGGGAGCTATTAAAAGTGTGGTTGAGCTGTAAACAATCAAATGGAAACAAATAACATCCATTGGAATAATAGTTGTGAGGTGTGGTTTCAAGAAGTTTAGATAGAAAATTTAAATTTGTTCCATATTTGTTCATTTTTTAAAAGCAAGTTACTGTAGAGAAGGTGGTTGATCATGCACTTCAATATAAAGTGCTTTTTTATATAAAGAAAATGGGTTTTACTTATACTTGTGAATATTTCATATTGTAGGCAATCATGATATTCTGTGTTTTCTAATTTTGGACTTAAGATCCATGAAGATTAAAGTCTATGACATTGAGAAATTGTAAGGGCCTCCAGGGATGTTTCAGATATAAGAAAGTGCAGTGAGCTTGTCTGTATAACTGATCACACCTCAACTTGGCTGCTTATTCAGAAATCAATGCCACATGCAGATACACTGCCACAATTTCTGATGAGAAGGGGATGGGATACAAGCTACGCGATAAGTATTCAGTGGCATTTAATTTTCATGTTTATATATGACAATTAAAATGGATGTTCCACTATTTTACATTTAGAGAGAGAAAGGAAGTTTTCATTATTGTCCACATTATATTAAATGGTTTATTTGAATAGAAAAATACTTCAGTAGGGTGAAAGATTTTAATAAAACATAACAATTGCTTCAAAGTCTTTACCAAAATATTACAATCATATAATGTTGAACTACTTGGTTTTTGTATAAAGATAGCTGAATAGGATGCCTATAGTTTCAATCTGATAAGTCTATTGATTGCCTGGTATAATAGTAACTAACATATCATCAACATATTATAGCACCCAACACAATAAATTCTCAAATAACTATTAGTCACCTGCCTCTTAATTTCAAAAGATTCCAACTTCAGAGCTTTTATTATATATGCTGAAATCATGGTGCAGTTTTAAAATATTTTTATTCATTTTACATAGGTTCCATATAACCGAACATTCAAAGTATAGATAAACCTCAATTTGCGTAACAAATATGTTTCTGAGAAGTTATAAATTGAATGATATTTTAAATGCACTAAGGAAACTGATTATTTGAAAGCACATTGTGGTGAGTTCTTTTGTAATTCAAGTGTTATGTAAGTTTGTGTTACTTTGGAATGGATTCTATTAAAACAGGACATTTCTTAGTTCTAGCACTGATGAGAGAAATAATTCACAGCAGATTATAAACATTCAATGCAAGTGACTGAAGTGCAGAGTATTTAAGGAGGAGAAAGAAACTTTTACCTTTCAAGGATGTTTAAACACCTGGTTGAATCAAAGGAAAGTTAACATCAAGTTCAGGTTTATATTTACCCTTCCTAATTTTGAAAATATATCTCTCTTTCCAGTTGGGTTTATATATAGTCCTCCCAAGGCAGGGGGATTACCCAAGTGACTTTATTTTAAGGTCTTTTATAGTTCTTTTACTTCAGTCCAGACAAAGAATTTTTTTTTAAAAGCCTTCTCTTCGCACTGGGTGAAAAAATAAAACCATGCATCAGCCTCTGAGGTGGCATTTAAAATAGAAAAAAGAATCCTTTAAAGATCATTGTTCTCATAATTATTTCATCACCATTTTATTTACTAGATTTATGTTTTTGTTGAAAATAGATTGCAAAATTCTTTAAAACATAACAACAAGCAATTTTCAGAATTTTTTTTTTAACCAAGGAACTGAAACCTATTAACTAATCTGTGCAGCACTGCAATGAAGGACTGCAGATTCAGAAAAGATGGCTTTAAAACTCATCTATTGGATCTATCTACATTTATCTTACCAATAAAATGTAAGAAATGTGAACAAATTGTAATGGAAAACTAGGGGGCCCTTTTATTTGCAAGTATTTATATTAAAAATTTGTTTCTCAAGAAGAATATGTCAGTCTATCCAATAAATACTCACTTATGTCTACCCCATCACTTGTGAGATATGGTGAATCACACCATGATGGATATGACATGGTACCTAACATCACAGAACATATAGTCTATCAAGAAAAAGAAAGCGGCTTGGCGTGGTGGCTCACGCCTGTAATCCCCGTACTTTGGGAGGCTGAGGTGGGTGGATCACGAGGTCAGGCGTTTGAGATCAGCCTGGCCAACATGGTGAAATCCCGTCTCCACTGAAAATACAAAAATTAGCCAGGTGTGGTGGCGCGTGCCTGTAGTCCCAGCTACTCAGGAGGCTAAAGGGGGAGAATTGCTTGAACTTGGGAGGCGGAGGTTGCAGTGAGCCGAGATCGTGCCACTGTGCTCAAGCCTGGGCAACAGAGTGAGATTCCATCTCAAGAAAAAGAAAAAAAAAGGAAAAGAAAGCACATGTACAAATAAAGTATTACTGCTATTGGGGGATGCAGGTAGAGCACCAGAGCACGGAGAAATTATCTACAGCTGTAGGAAATAGGAAATTGCACACAAATGTGTTTGAGAAAACATTTGTCGTGGGAAATCATCCTAGGAGTTACAGCTCAAAGGTGGACAGGAGGGGTCCTTGGGAGGAAATTCAGATCACATGAGGCCTTGAATGTCAGGCTGAGCAATTAAACTTGAATTTTCTGTGCAGTAAGGGAGTTATAGAAGGTTTTGAAGCAGGAGAGGATTATGATACAGTAGATGGTACAAGAAGATTAATCTTACATGGGTGCCTAACATGGGCTAAGAGAAGAGGAAGCTCCTAGGTGAGAAGTGTGGGGAATTCCACAATCACTCAGGTGTGAGAAAATGAGAACTTGAATAGGAAAAACAGATACCGGACCAACGTCAGAGGAATCAGAAGTAGTGAACAGCCAAAAGAAGGGAGGATGTTACAGGGAAGGTTGGAGGGAGAAGCTAAAAGGCATTTCGGTATTCATCTCTATGCCTGGGAGAGTGAAGGTAACATTGCATTCAAAGAAATGGGAAACACAGGGCTAGAAACAGGTTTGGGAATCAAGTGGTAATCTTACAAATTGGTAATCTTGGCTTACATGCCTTGCACAATGTTTGATGTAGGTGTTTCATATTTGCAGCAAAAAAATAATGATTTTTAAAATTTATTATTCAGGCTTTTAGACATTTAGGTGATTTTTAATTTTTTTCTAAAAATTATATAAGGATTTACTGAACATGCTAAATTACATTGACGGAATATGGCAATCCCCAGATATTGGAAAAATTATATTCTTTCCCTTCATAGGTATTTGGCTCCAGTCAACTCCCAGAATCATGGCAACTAAACTCTAATTTGAGAAAATAATGAAAGAGTGTAAATCACATTCCACTTTTTGAAACTTCATAATCTATGTGCTCTGGTCCCTCATTTTAGAGTTATTTGAAAAAGTTTGTCTACGGCATACACAGAATAAGTTTATGATGTGTGAGTATATGATGGACTTGGGAGATGTTTCATTACAACAAAGTCTCCAATGTTTTTCTGAAAAGGGGCTCATTTTGACTTTTCTGAAATTTTTAATGAGTGGAGGATGGAATTTGAGGTTAAAGGTATTGATTATAAATGTAACATTGGGTTGCAAATAGAATTATCCATAAATTTGCTGTATCATAAATGCTACTGCAGTCGGTCTAAACACTGGACATGAATTTATGTGTTACTTTGTACAAAATGGTGAAAAAAATACTATATATCCAATTGATTGACAAAAGCCCAAGAAGCTTGTTAAAAGGGCTGGCTAAGCATATTTGTGAAGACAAATATTTTTAAATGTCCATTAGAGTAACTTCAACATAACTAAGTAAATCAGAAGAACTAGGATTATGTTTACTCTTTAAATTTGCTAAAACAGAGGTCAATGATTATTGATCTTGATTGGCTGTCTCCGCTCTTTTTCTTACCTTTCCTTTTATTCTTCTTATGCTTCAATTTTTTACCGTTCTTTTTTTTTTTTAAGTGATCACGCATTAACTTCAAATGACTGGATTCTAACACTGGTTTCTTTGCAGGGCATAGAGGTAAATTATGACTTTCCTAACCTCTTCCCTGATCCATAAACCATGAACTACCCTCCAATAGGTCTACTTTGAACCACTGGGCAATACTCTCTGAGCCACATGACTAAAATTTACAGGATTCTCTAAGTAATCTTGCAGTGTTAAGAGGGTGCCTGACTGAGCAATGAGATTTCATGATAACTCATTCGAGTCTCCTATATGGTACAGCTGAGTCTGGAACATCTTTGTTTGGAGTTCCTGAGAGGTTACAGCTATTTAACTTCATGGGGAGAATTGGAAACATGGACATATGCTTGATAAATATCCTTTAAGTAACCATGTATCACTTAGTCACTTTGGAATCTTAAATTAATGCTCTATTACTAAGGAAAAAGCCCTACTTCTTAAGTCCTTGACTTTTTTGTGTTAACTGCCAACAAATAAAAACAATAACTACAAATCCCATCCCAAGCTGAAAAGCTTAAAGCTACCCTTGTATTGAGTAAAGCCCAATGTGTTTCGTAGATAATGTGATAATGTATTTCACTGATGAAATGTGGTTGATCTTACCAAGCATCAATGAATGTATTACCATTTTTCTACTGTTTCAATTATATTTTAGCATTGGAAGAAAAGTGGAAGACTTAGTCAATTCTGCCATGAGTAAAACTTAATGTCATTTAATTCCATTGCGTTCCATTAAATCTGGTGAAAAAATTTATACTGTCATTTATTCCCATTCTTAATCATTAGAATGAAATGAAACATATCAGTATACTTAAAAGACCCTTGGATTATGAATTAAATACAAAATTACAATTAGAAAATAGTACAGAAGGATATTTTAAAATAGTTTAGTATAAAATCAGCAAAAAGAAAATAATAAGGCAACAGTTTGAGGTTTGATTGTTTCTTTTGTTCTTCACCTGAAAATAATTTCAAACTCTTTCACAATGCAGTGTAATACATTCTGGAAGTAATAAACATCACACTATTTAGCTATTACTTAAGCAGCACATAAAAATAATTATACCTGGATTTAGACACAGGTTGAAGAAAATAATGGGATTACTGCTACCACATAATTTATAAATTAATTTTTAATTTTTAGGTAATTGCGAATTCACACGCAGTATAAGATGTAATATGCAGAGATCACAATACTGTGTACTCAGCTTCCCCCAATGGTAACATCTTATGATACTGTAATACACTCTCACTCTCAGGATATTCACACATGATACACGCAAGATAGAGAACATTCCCATTACCACAAACATCTCTCATGCATTTTTATTGCTACCTGCCTTTCCCTCCTGCCTGCATTCCCTCCTTAATTCCAGGCAGCCTAAATACTATGTTTATAATATTTTCATTTCAAAAATGTTGTACAACTTGAATCATATAGGGTGTAACTTTTTGGATTGGCCTTTTTACTCCATCTAATTATTTTGGAGATTCATCCAGACTGTGGCATGTATCAGTAGTTTATTCCTTTTTATTGCTGAGTGTGCAATACACGGTATGAATATTACATAGTTCAACCACTGCTTCATGAAGAACATCTGGGTTGTTTCCAGGCTATTACATATAAAGCTGTTATGAACAATTGTGCTCATGTCTTTGGGTGAACATGTTTTTATTTCTCTGAGAGAAATGTCCAGGAGAATAATTGCTAGGTTGTAGGAGAGTTGTTGCATGTATAGATTTTTGAGAACCTACAAGCAGTTTTCCAGAGTGGGTGGACCATTTCATGTTCCCACCTACATAGTAGGTGTGATTTGGTGGTTTCTCTGCATTCCTCCCAGCATTTTGTCTTGTAACTTTTTTTTTTAACCTTTCTGATAAATTAGATATATCATTATGATTTTAATTTAAATTTTCCAAAGGACTAATAATATTGAACATCTTTTCTTGGGCTTATTTGCCATCTGTGTATTCTCTTTAATGACATATCTCCTTATCTCTCTTACCCACTTTATAATTGAATTGTTGTTTTTTATTTCTACTGTTAAATTTGAGAGTTTTAATATTTTCTAGACCTTTGTCAAATATGTGGTTTGCAAATATTTTCTTCCAGTCTGTAATTTGTCATTTTGTCCTTGTAACAGGGCATTTTGCAGTACAGAAGTTTTTAATTTTGATGAAAGTCCAATTTGTCAATTTTTTTTCTATTTTTGGATGATGATTTTAGTGTAAAATCTCAGAACTCTTTACTTAGCCTTAGATACTGAAGATTTTCTCCTACTGTTTTCTCAAAGTGTTACAGTTTTACTTTTTACAATTAAGTCCATGAGCCAATCTATTTTGAGTTTATAGGATATGAGACTTGGGTTTGGGTTCTCTCTGTCTCTCTCTCTCTTCCTCTCCCTCTCTTTTGCTTCTGAATATCCAGTTGCTCCAGCATCATTTGTCAAAAATGCTACCTTTCCTCTATTGAATTGCTTTTGCCTCTTTGTCAAAAATTAATTGGGCATATTCGTGTGGGTCTATTTCTGGGATCTCTGTTCTATTCCACTGGTTTTTGTGTCTATGTTTTGCCAGTACCACATCATCTAAATTATTGAAGCTATAAGTCTTAACATCTAGTAGATCAATTTTTAATTCAAAATGATTTTAGCTTTCTTGATTCTTTTGCCTTTCTATGCACATTTAAAAATCAACTTGTCTATGTCTGTAAAAACACCTTGCTGGGATCTTGGTAAGATTGCTTATTGATTTAGAAAGAATTGACACCTTTGCTATGTTTAGTGCTTCATCCCATGAACATGCTATAGCTATGCATTTATTTCAATTTTCTTTGGTTTCCTCTATTGGTCTTTTGTTTTCAACATACAAATCTTATACATGTTTTATTAGATTAACACATATATTTATTTCTTTGAGCAATTTTAAATTGTACAGTAAATTATCTTTTATTTTAAATATTTGTGTTAATGGCTAATGTATAGAAATACAATTGATTTTTGTATATTTATCTCATATCCTGAAACCTTCATGAGCTTACTTATAAGTTCCAGAATTCTTTTATTGGTATTTTTTGTTTTTGTTCATTTTGGGTTTTTTTTTATTTTTGGGGATTTTTTATTTAGATGATTATGTCATTTGCAAATAAGGACTGTTTTATTTCTCCCTATCCAATGTGAACACTTTCTATTGCTTTCTTGAACTAGCTAAAACTTCCAGCATTGTTTTGATTAACAGTAGTGAGAGTGGACACTCTTGCCTTCTTTCTAGTCACAGGGAGAAAATTCAGTCTTTCACTCTTAAGTATAATGCTAACTGTAGGGTTTTTTGCAGGTACTCTTTATTAAGTCAAGGAAGTTTCTCTGTATTTCGATTTTTCCGACAGCTTTCTTTTCTTCGAAATAGATGTTACATTTTGTCAAAATTCATGTTTATTTTCCTTCTTTATTGTATTAACATGGTGGGCTACAGTGATTTTTGATTGCTGAACCAGCCTTGTGTTCTTACCGTAAACCACACGTAGTCATGATGCATAATTCTTTTCATATGTTGCTGAATTTATTTGGTAAGATTTTGCTAATTATTGTTGTGTCTGTATTAATGAGGGATATTGATCTGTAGTTTTCTGTTTGTACTGTCTTTATCTGGTTTTGGTGGTAATACTAGCTTTATGGAATGAATTGAGAAGTGTTCTCTCCTTTCTATTTTTCTGAAAGCTATTGTTTAGAATTGTCTAATTTTCTTTAAACATTTGGTAGACTTCTCCAGTAAATTCAATGAAGTCTGGAGATTTATGTTTTGGGAATTCTTAAAAATTACAATTTCAATTTTCTTAATAGTTAAAGAGCTATTCAAATTATTTCAAATTGTTTCTTGTAACCATTTGTTTTTTTCAGAGGATTGTTCCATTTTGTCTAAGTGGTATCCAGCCTTTTTGGCAACAAGGACTGGTTTCATGGAAGATAATTTTTTAATGGACAGGGGAAGAGGGTGGCAGGATGGTTTTAGGATGAAACTGTTCCACCTCAGATCATCAGGCATTAGTTAGATACTCATAGAAGTGCACAACCTAGATTCCTTGCATGTGCAGTTCACAATAGGGTTTGCACTCCTGTGAGAATCTGAGGCTGCCGCTGATCTGAAAGGAGATGGAGCTCAGGTGGTAATATGGTTTGGCTGCGTCCCCACCCAAAATCTCATCTTGAATTGTAGTCCAAATTGTAATCCCCACGTGTTGGGGGAGGGACCTTGTGGTAGATGATTAGAACATGTGGGCACTTCCCCCATGCTGTTCTGATGATAGTGAGTGAGTTCTCATGAGGGACTTTCTCCCCCTTATCTCTGCACTTCCCTTTCCTGCTGCCCTGTGAAGAGGTGCCTTTCACCATGATTGTAAGTTTTCTGAGGGCTCCCCAGCCATGTGGAACTGTGAGTCAACTAAATCTATTTTCTTTATAAATTACCCAGTCTTGGGTATTTCTTTATAGTAGCATGGGAACAGACTAATACAGTAGTTTGGTAGCAGGTAGTGGGGCACTGCTATAAAGACACCCAAAATTGTGGAAGTGACTTTGGAACTGGTTAACAGCCAGTTAACCAGGAGACGAGGGCTCAGAAGAAGAAGACAGGAAAATGTGGGAAAGTTTGGAACTTCCTAGAGACTTGTTGAATGGCTTTGACCAAAATGCTGTTAGAGATATGGAGAATTAAGTTCAGGCTGAGGTGGTCTCAGATGGAGATGAGGAACTTGTTGGGAACTGGAATAAAGGTGACTCTTGCTATGCTTTAGCAAAGAGACTGGTGGCGTTCTTCCCCTGACCTAGAGATCTGTGGAACTTTGAAATTGAGAGAGATGATTTAGGGTATTTGGCAGAAGAAATTTCTAAGCAGCAAAGCATTCAAGAGGAATTAGAGCATAAAAGTTTGGAAAATTTGCAGCCTGACAAATGCAATAGAAAATAAAAACCCATTTTCTGGGGAGAAACTCAAGCCTGCTGCAGAAATTTGCATAAGTAACAAGGAGCTGAATGTTAATCACCGAGACAATGGGGAAAATGTCCCCAGGGCATGTCAGAGACCTTCAGTGCAGACCCTCCCATCACAGGCCTAGATGCCTACGGGAGAAAAATGGTTTCACGGGCCAGGCCCAGGGCCCTCCTGCTCTGTGAAGCCTTGGAACATGGTGCCCTGCATCCCAGCTGCTTCTGTCCCAGTCATATTTAAAAGGGGCCAACATACAGCTCGGGCCATTGCTTCAGAGGCTGTGAGCCCCAAGCTTTGGTGCCTTACACGTGTTATTGAGCTTATGAGTACACAGAAGTCAAGAATTGTGGTTTTGGAATCTCTGCCTAGATTTCAGAGGATGTAGGGACATACCTGGATGCCCAGGCAGAAGTTTGCCACAGCAGTGGAGCCCTCAATGAGAACCTCTGCTAGGGCAGTGGGGAAGGGAAGTGTGGGGTTGGAGCCCCCACACAGAGTCCTCACTGGGGCACTGCCTTTTGGAGCTGTGAGAAGAGGTCTACTGTCCTCCAGACCCCAGAATGGTAGATCCACCAACAGCTTGCACTGTGTGCCTGGAAAATTGCAGACACTCAATGCCAGCCCATGAAAGGAGCTGGAAGGAGGGCTGTACCCTGCAAAGTCACAGGGGCAGAGCTGCCCAAGGCCATGGAAGCTCACTTCTTGCATCAGTGTGACCTGGATGTGAGACATTAAGTCAAAGGAGATAATTTTGGAACTTTAAGCTTTAATGATTGCCCTATTAGGGCATGGGGCCTGTAGCCCCTTTGATTTGGCCAATTTCTCCCATTTGAAATGGGTGTATTTACCGAATTTCTGTATCCCCATTGTATCTGAGAAGTCTAACTTGCTTTTGATTTTACAGGCTCATAGGTGGAAGGGATGTTTGAACTTTAACTTTTGGGTTAATGCTGGAATGAGTTAAGACTTTGTGGGACTGTTGGGAGAGCATGGTTGTGTTTTGAAATGTGAGGACATGAGGTTTGGGAGGGGTCGGGGCAGAATGATATGGTTTGGCTGTGTCTCCACCCAAAATCTCATCTTGAATTGTAATCCAAATTGTAATCCCCACGTGCTGGGGAGAGCTGTAGTGAATATCAGGCTCGGATGTAACAGGAGTAATCTAGCTTGTTCTACTAGCTCTGTTGTACAACATCCTTGCTGAGATTGTGCCTAGCTAGCACCATCACAATGTACTAGACTGGAATAATAAAGTGCGCAAATGGATCTGAGTGGTACAGATGGTAGATTGTATTTTATCCCTCAAAATTCTCCTGGCTCCACCTCTTAACCTAGCTACTATACTGGCTTTGATAAGCCTAGCAGTCATCCAGTGCTTCAGCTTGAGCCGTTCAACTCACCTCTTGGCTCCTGCCCTGGTCTTCTCTGATGCCTTTTCAGGACACATTCTTGAGAAGCCACTTTGCACTAATTTGTGTGCAATCCAAAAGTGGGAAAACTACCGCCTGTGGGACTCCTCTTACTCTCCTCTTTTATCTCCTGACCAGGCAATTTTGTGATGTTTTTTCAAAGTCTCCTCAGTATTCACTGGGAGATCAAGCACCAGCTTCCCATAGCATTTGCTAAGCAGATAAAACATTTTTGGGATGGTTTTCCTCTTCTTCTCTCTTTTATTCTTCAGCATGTACTTCTCCCTGGGACCACATTCCTGTGTGAACAAGTGCAAGCAAACCTTTGCATTAGACCCTGCTTTGGGAGTAATCCAGGCTCAGAAAGAAAAGCCATCTGATGATGACTTTAAAGTGAGAAACCTCATTGCAAAATGGAGGTTTCATCTTTCAAAATTGTATACATTCTTTTTAACATAAGATAAAAAATAAACATTAAAAAATCATATTTGAACTCCTAGACTCCCAAGTAACTATGAACCACAATTTGAGAAACAGCGGTGTCAGATCTCTTTTTTAAGGAGAATTATCAGCAGTTTCATAGAACCTATGGAATGACCAATAACCTATACTATGGGTCTGGAGTTGGTCATTTGCCACAATGTAGCTGCAAAGTGCACAATTTGGTCACAATGTCCACAGTTCAATTGCTAGGGGAAAAGAAGAAAAGGGCCATTGGATAGGCAACTAGAATACTTTGACATTGGGACATGAATGATTGATGTTAATAGATTCAAGTTTTCCCAGAATTTTGTTAGTAAATATTCATTCTTACTCAGAACCAGAAATATCCGAATGTGCTAGACTGGTTAATACTCTGTGTTAATGGCATACATATTATGAATATTGTTTAAAAGGAAATATGAGTTTATATTTCAAAATTAATATAGTTCCTACATGTCCTTATTTGACTTTCAGCAAAGGTAATGCTGGCTCAGGTTTTAGCAATTTACCTGCTGTTAAATGTGGCAGCATGATGTTTCAATATTAGAAAATAGGGGAAAAAATTAAAAAGGCTTTTGTGGATTTGCATTAAGTAAGCTAAGAATATATTTTTCCATTTGTTATTAGCCATTGTTAAAGCAATTGAATTATTATACTCTTATCCATCATTGTAACATTTGGATTTATGGAGAACATAATCAGACAATAGATAAATATGAATTTTTAAAGAGAAAAATCAAGTCTACAAATAAGAAAAAGAACAATCACCTGATTGTTATGAACCATCTGAATATAGTTTTCTAGGAATTCTTTGCTCTAAACAGACAAAAAACAAAATGACTCCCACTGGGTAAGGAAAAAAGCAATAAGATCTAAATCTTAATCAAATGTTGTTCAGATCTCTATAGCTGGGGGCTGGCTTTACAGGAACATTCAGAAAGTTGTATGTGTGTGTGTTTCAGGTCTCCATGTTACATTAAGACCTTGTGCAGGGTACAGTTACCCTCAATAATTTCATATTGTTTAACTAGAAATTCAAAGCCAGAAACAAATATTTTTGTCCTCTCTCCAAGTAAAGAATAATATCTTCATTGACTAACAAAAGAGATTCTTCTGAGCATGGATTATGCCTTTAGGCTCTAGGATGATGCCTTTTTAGTGTCTATATGCAAACTTTAGTTGAAATTACGACCCTAATTGACAGGATTTTTAAATTGAGCACCCACAGGCCACGTTGCTACATAGTACATCGTCATTTTCTTCTACATTGAATTAATTTTCAATCAACATTGTTAAAAAAAAAAAGAACAAGAGTAGAAACTGGCTACCAATACTCTAAAGCTATTTCAAATCCCGAAGCACAAAGCTTAATTAAGAACCAATTAATATAGAGAGTATACGTCAAAAGAAGATAAGGAAGATATGATGAGGTCAGGGTAAAAGTCGTTTCTGTTTTCTTTTGAAGCTTAGATATATCTCAATTGTAAAATAGAGGAGAAAATAAAACATTAACTTGCTGAATCTGCTTTATTTTTAAAAATAGAAATAAAATTTACCTTTGAGGTTACTGACCCATAATCTTATTAGAGAAGAAAAAGCATCAGAAGGATTCATAAGGCACTTCTTGTAATTTCTTAGGGAATCAGGGTAGTGTTTGAATTATTAGGATCAATTTATTGTGGCATATGATGTTGTTTTGCTGAGACAGAACCACTTGCGCCACATGAACATGGAATTAGGTGTTGTTGCCACCAAAGTTCTTTCAAGTTTAGCAAGTTCATACTTTTATTTTCCAGTAATGGGTCAATTCTGTCTTCATATTGATCCATTTAAACTACTATGAAACCTAAACCTTTGTTCTGAGTTGTGATGTCCTTATAGCCTTCACTTGAGGGTGAATGCATAATTTTCATGTTAAGTGCACCTCAGTTTTTATCTTTCTAATCTATGACACGGAAGGTGGAAATACATGCTGTCAATGAGGTCTTAATGCTGACAAAAATGGAAAT